>NC_000006.12:104161699-104313214 GCF_000001405.40 Homo sapiens
AGAAATTTAATTAGTTGGCCGTGGTGGTGGGCACCTATAGTCCCAGCTACTCGGGAGGCTGAGGCAGGAGAATGGCGTGAACCCAGGAGGCGGAGCTTGCAGAGAGCGGAGATCGCGCCACTGCACTCCAGCCTGGGTGACAGAGCAAGACTCCGTCTCAAAAAAAAGAAAAAAAAAAGAAATATCTAGTAATAATAATATCTGGATTCTGGTGGAGCAAGATGGCCAAACAGAATTCTCCAGTGATCACCCCCTCAAAAGGAACACCAAATTGAACAACTATCCATACAAGAAAACACCATCATAAGATTAAAAAATCAGGTGAGTGATCACAGTACCTGGATTTAACATTATATCAAGGAAACAGGAACTGAAGAGGGTAGGAAAGACATTCTTGAATTGGTGACATCACTCCTTCCCGATTGCCCGGCAACAGCCTTGTGGCACAGAGAAAGAAACTGTGTGCTTGGGGGAGGGAGAACGCAGTGACCATGGGAATTTGCATTGGAACACAGTGCTGCCCTGTCACAGCAGAGAGGAACAAAAGGCAGTATATAGCTGGTGTCCACAGAGAGATAATTTAGATCAGCCCTAGCTAGAGGAAAATCATAAATCTCAGTGGGTAGGACTGAGTTCTGTCTAGTCTGACCACTGCAGGCTAAAGTACCCTGGGATTCTAAGTAAACTTGAAAGGAAGTCTAAGCCAAAAGAAATGCAATTCTTGGGCAAGTCCTGGTGCTGTGCTGGGCTCAGAGCCAGTGGGCTTGGTGTGCATGTGACCTAGTGAGACACTGGCTGAGGTGGCCAAAGGAGTGCTTGCATCATCCCTACCCTAACCCCAGGCAGCGCATCTTGCAGCTTTGGGAGAGACTCCTTCCTTCTGCTTGAGGAGCAGAGAAAGGCGAGTAAACAGGGATTTGCCTTGCAATTTGGATATCAGCTTAACCATAGTAGAGGCAGAGTCCTGAGGCCACATTCCATTCCATTCCATTCCATCCCCAGACAAAATTTCTAGACACACATAGGGACAGAGGGGAACCTGCTCCCTTGAAAGGAAGGACCCAGTTCTGGCAGGATCCATCACCTACTGTCTAAAAAACCCTCAGGCCTTGAATAAACTTCAATGATAGACAGACAGTACTTGCCATGGGCCTTATGTGAGCCCAATGCCATGCTGGCTTCAGATGTGACTCGGCACATTCCTAACTGTGGTGGCCATAGGGAGAGATTTCTTCTGCTTGAGAAAAGGAGAGGGGAGAGTAAAGGGGTCTTTGTCTGGCAGCTTCAATACCAGCTCAGCCATAGTGGGGTAGAGCATCAGGTGGACCCCTAGGGGCCCCAGTTTCAGGCCTTCTCTCCTGCTTGGAATTTCTGGACCTGCCCTGGGCCAAAGGGGAGCCCACTGCCCTGAAGGGAGCCCAGTGCTACTCAAGCATGGCAGCATTTACCACAACCTGACTGAAGAACCCTTGGGCCTTGAGTAAACATCAGCAGTAGCCAGGCAGTACTTGCCATGGGCCTGGGGCATTGGTGGCCACAGGGAGAGACTCCTACTTGAGTAAAGTAGAGAGAAGAGAAGAGTGAGAAGGACTTTCTCATGGCTTGAGTGCCAGCTCAGCCACAGTAGAATAGAGCATCAAGAAGGTTTTTGAGGTTTCTGACTTCAGGCCTTGGCTCCTGGACAGTGTTTTTGGATCTGCCCTGGGTCAGAGAGGAACTCACCATACTGAAGGGAAGGATATAAATGTGGCTAGATTAGCCACCTGCTGTCTAAAGAGCCCTTGGTCCTTAAGAGAACATTGGTGGTAGCCAGCCTGGTTGCCACAAGACTTGGGTGAGATCCAGTATTATGCTGACTTTCAGGTCTGATTCAGCACAGTCCCAGTGGTGGGGACACAAGGGAGTTTGTGTCACCCCTCCCACAGATCCAACCAGCTCAGAACAGAGAGACGGTCTGTTTGGGGGAAAGTAAGGGAAGAGAACAACAATCTCTGTCTGGTAACACAGTGAAATCTCTTGGTTCTTACCCAAGATCACCAAGGCGGTACCCGTATGTATCTGCAAAAGTCAGCGTTACTGGGCTTGGAGTGCCTCCTAAATGCACGTATGACTGTAGTGACCAAAGACTTAGACCACCACACTCAATTCCCTTTGAATACTTGGAAAGCCTTCCCAAGAAGAACAGGTACAACAAATCCAGAATGTGAAGACTACAATAACTAACTCTTCATTGCCTAGACAATGATGAACTATCCTGGATAAGACTATCCAGGAAAACATGACCTCACAAAACAAGCAAAATACAGTGCTGGTAATCAATCAATGAGAGAGATGCATGACCTTTCTGACAGAGAATTCGAAACAGCTGTTTTGAGGAAGCTCAACAAAATTCAGTTTAACAGTGAGAAGAAATTCAGAATCCTATCAGATAAACTTAACAAAGAGATTGGAATAATTTTGAAAAAATATGCACAAATTTTGAAGCTGAAAAACTCAATTGACATTGTAAAGAATGCATCGGAGTCTCCCAATAGTGAAAGTGATAAAGAAGAAAGAATGCATGAACTTGAAGACAGGTTATTTGAAAATACACAAAAAAGAAAAAAGACTAAAATAGAATGAGGTATGCCAATAAAATCTAGAAAATACAATAAAAAGGGCAAATCTAAGACTTATTGGCCTTAAAGAGGAGTTAGAGAAAGACATAGGGATAGATTATTTAAGGGGATAATAAAAGAACTTCCTAAATCTAGAGAAAGATATAAATTTCCAAGTACAAGAAGGTTACAGAACACCAAGCAGATTTAATCTAAATAAGACTACCTCAAGACATTTAATCAAACTCCCAAATAGAGAAACCTCATATTTGAGAGCAAGATGACAGAATAGAAAGCTCCACTAATTGTTTCATAAGAAGGAAAAATCAGGTGAGCACTCATAGTACCTGGTTTTAACTTTATATTATTGAAAGAATCACTGAAGAAATAGAAAAAACAGTCCAGAATCACTGATACCACACCTCCCCCACCATCACATGCTGCAGTGTGGTGCCAAGAGCATCTCTGGGCTCTGGGGAAGGAAAAACACAGCAATTATGAGGCATTTAACTCAGTGCTTTCCTGTTAGAACAGAAAGAAAAACCAAACCAAACTCAGCTGATATTCACCCACCTCAGCATATGAACTAGCCCTATCCAGTGGGGGAATCAGCAAGCTCAGTGGTCCAAAATTGAGTGCCTATGAACTTCGCCACCAAGGGTTACAACACTTTATGTCTTCAAGTAAACATGAAAGGCAGTCTAGGCCATAAGAAATACAACTCTTAGGTGAATCCTAGTGCTGAGCTAGGCCCAGAGACATTGGACTAGGGGAGCACAAGACATACTGCAACAACAGCTGGGGCAACCAAGGGAGTGCTAGCATCACCTCTCTGCTAACCTCAGGCTCCACAGCTTGAGGCTCCAAAAGAGACCCCTTCCTTCTGCTTGAGGAGAGGAGAGGGAAGAGAGGGGAGGACTTTGTCTTGCATCTAGGATACCAACTCAGCCACAACAGGATAGGGCACTGGTCAGAGTTCTAGGGCTGCCATTCTAGGCCCTAGCTCCCAGATGACATTTCTAGACATACCCAGGGCCAGAAGAGAACCTGCTACCTTGAAGGAAAGGACCCAGTGCTGGCAGTATTCATCACCTACTAACTTAAGAGCCCTTGGGCCCTGAATAATCAGCAGCATGGCCCAGGTACTATATCAAGAGCCTTGGGTGGGCCTCTGAGACTTGCTGACTTCAGGTGAGACTCAGCACATTACCCACTGTGGTGGCTATGGGGCAAAACTACAACAACTTTTCAAGACATAGTACAATAAGATATAAGTAGAAACAAAAACAGTTAAAAAGTAGGGTACAGGAGCCAGGCGTGGTGACTCACACCTGTAATCCCAGCACTTTGGGAAGCCAAGGCGGGTGGATCACGAGGTCAGGAGATCAAGACCATCCTGGCTAGCACAGTTAAACTCCATCTCTACTAAAACTATGAAAAATCAGCTGGGTGTGGTGGCAGGCGCCTGTAGTCCCAGCTACTAGGGAGGCTGAGGCAGGAGAATGGCACGAACCCGGTAGGCAAAGGTTGCAGTGAGCCGAGATCGTGCCACTGCACTCCAGCCTGGGTGACAGAGCGAGACTCCATCTCAGAAAAGAAAAAAAAAATGTAGGGTACAAAGTTAAGGTGTAGACTTTTATTAGTTTTCTTCTTACTGGTTTGTTTGTTTATGAAAATAGTGTTAAGTTGGTATCAGGTTAAAATAATGGGTTATAAGATAGTATTTGCAAGCCTCATGGTAACCTTGAACCAAAAGACATACAATGGAGAAACAAAAAATAAAAAGCAAGAAACTAAAGCATATTATCAGAGAAAATCACCTTTGCTAGAGAAAGACAGGAAGGAAAGAAATAAGGAAGAGAACACCATAAAACCACACACACACAAAAAAAAATAACAAAATGGCAGGAGGCCTTACTTATGGATAATAACAATGAATGTAAATGGACTAAATCCTCCAATCAAAAGACATAGGCTGGATGAATGGATGAAAAAACAGGACCCATTGATCTGTTGCCTACAAGAAACACACTTCACCTACAAAGACACACATAGACTGAAAATAAAGAAATGGAAAAGGATATTTCATGTCAATGCAAACCAAAAAAAAAGAAGAAGGAGTCACTATACTTATATCAGAGAAAATAGATTTCAAGACATGAACTATAAGAAGAGACAAAGATGGTCACTATATAATGATAAAGGGGTCAATTCAACAAGAGAATATAACAATTTTAAATATATATCCACCTAACACTGGAGCACCCAGATACACAATACAACCTTATTAGAGCTAAAGAGAGAGATAGGCCACAGTACAATAATAGCTGGAGACTTCAACACCCCACTTTCAACATTGGACAGATCTTCCAGATAGAAATCAACAATGAAACATCAGACTTACTCTGCACCACAGACCAAATGAAACTGATAGATATTTACAGAACCTTTCAACCAAGAGCTGCAGAATACACATTATTTTCCTCAGTTCATAGATTATTCTCAAGGATAAATTATATGTTAGGTCACAAACATTCAAAGTCTTAAAACATCCAAAAATGTATAACAATATTAAGCATCTTATCTGACCATAATGGAATAAAAATAGAAAATAATAAGATGAATTTTGGAAACTATACAAATACATGGAAATTAAACAATATGCTCTTGAATGACCAGTGGGTCAGTGAAGAAATTAAAAAGGAAATTGAAACAATTTTTGAAACAAATGATAATGGAAACACAACATACCAACACCTATGGGATACAGCAAAAGCAGTACTAAGAGGAAAGTTTGTAACAATAAGTGTATACATCAAAAAGGAGGAAAAAACTTGCAATGAACAATCTAATAATGCACCTTAAAGAACCAGAAAAGTAAAGCAAACCAAACCCAAAATTAGAAGAAATAATAAAGATCAGAGCAGAAATAAATGAAATTGAAATGAATAAACAATACATCAGTGAAACAAAAAGTTGGTTTTTTGAAACGTTAAACAAATTTGACAAACCTTTAGCCAGACTAAAAATAAGAGAGAAGATCCAAATAAATAAAATCAGAAATAAAAAAGGAGACATTACAAGTGATACTGCAGAAATTCAAAGGGTCATTAGTGGCTACTATGAGCAACTATATGCCAATAAATTGGAAAATCTAAAAGAAATAGACAAATTCCTAGATACATACAACCTATCAAGATTGAACCAGGAAGAAATCCAAAACCTGAACAGATCAATGACAAGTAATGAGACAAAAGCCTTACTAAAGTCTCCAAGTAAAGAAAAGCCTGGGACCTGATGGATGCAATGCTGAATTCTACCAAACATTTAAGAAGAATTAATACCAGTACTACTCAAACTATTCCAAAAAATAAAAAAGGAGGAGGGAATACTTCCAAACTCATTCTGCAAGACCAGTATTACCCCAATACCAAAACCAGACAAAGACACATTAAAAAAAAAAGAAAACAATCTCTGATGAATATTGATGCAAAAATCCTCAACAAAATACTAGCAAACCAAATTCAACAATACACTAGAAAGATCATTCATTATGACAAAGTCAGATTTATCCCTGGGACGCAAGGATGTTTCAACATACACAAATTAATGTGATACATCATATCAACAGAATGAAGGATAAACACCATATGAACATTTCAAATGATGCTAAAAAAGCATTTGATAAAATTTCATATCCCTTCATGATAAAAAACCTTCAAAAAACTGTTGATAGCGGAACATACCTCAAAACAATAAAAGCTATACATGACAGATCCACAATTAGTATCATAGTGAATAAGGAAAAACTGAAAGCCTTTCTGCAAAGATCTGGAGCAAGATAAGGATGCCCATTGTCACCACTGTTATTCAACATAGTACTGGAAGTCCTAGCTAGAGCAATCACAAGAGAAAGAAATAAAGGGCATCCAAACTACAAAGGAGGAAGTCAAATTATTCTTGTTTGCAGATTATGTGATCTTATATTTGGAAAAACTTGAAGACTCCACCAAAAAGCTCTTAAAACTTATAAACAAATTCAGTTAAGCTTCAGGATACAAAATCAACATATGAAAATCAGTAGTATTTTTATATGTCAACAGTGAACGTTCTGAAAAAGATACAACAGTAATATTAATAAATCTCAAAGTATAAAAATGAACTATGGGAAACATAACTACCGTATCTAACTTTACTGTTAGTAGTGTTGGGTGAAATATGGATTCCATGGACCAGTTAATATTTTTCTAGTCAGGAAGCACGAAGTAAAAGATCTGGCATGCTGGTGATGATAGGTTGGAATAGCACTGAATTTTTAATGAGAAAGCTGAAGTCTGAGAGAAGCATGTAGCTGAAGAAGGGAATCTAAGAAAAGAGGTGTGATCACTTCATTACATAAACAGTGATTAGTAGGAGCTAAACCTTATTAAGTTTGCAAACTTTTTTATAATTATGGTTGTGATAGTTAGCTTTATGTGTCAACTTGACTGGATCATGGGATGCCAAGATATTTGGTTAAACATTGTTTCTGGGTGTGTCTGTGGAGATGTTTCAGGACGGGATAAGCATTTGAAACTGCAGACTCAGTAAAGCACATTGCCCTGCCTAAAGTGAGTGGACATTGTCAAATCTGCTGAGGGCTTCAACAGAACAAAAGGTCGAGAAAGCAGGAATTCATCCCTTTTGTTTCCTCCTTGCCTGCTTGTGCTGGGATATCTCATCTCATTTTCCCCATCCCTAGGATTTGGATCTATAGCATCAGCTCCTCTGGTTCTCAGGCCTTTGGACTTGAACTGAATTACACCACCAGCTCTCCTGGCTCCCTCAAACTTGAGGTTGGCATATGGTAAGACTTCAGCCTCCATAAAGTTCTCATGACACATACATACATACATACGTGTGTGTGTGTGTATGTGTGCGTGTGTGTGTGTGTGTGTGTATCTCCTACTGGTTCTCTGGAGAACCCTAATATACTGAGTGAAATGTACCGCCTGCTTTAGACTGAGTAAAGGATGTTCACCAATGTGGATGGACATCGTCCAATTCATTGAGGGCCTGAGCAAAACATAAAGGTGGAGGAAAGGAAGATTCATTCTCTCTGCCTGACTGCTTCAGCATGGACATTCATCCTTTTCTGCCTGCAGAGCTCCTGGTTCTCAACCTTCAGACTTGGATTGGAATCTACACCATTGGCTCTCTGGCTCTCAGGCCTTCAAACTATATCACCAGCCTTCTTGGGTCTCCAGCTTGCAGAAGGCAGATCATGTATATCTCCTTTTGGTTCTGTTTTCCTGGAGAACCCTAACACACTGGGCTATTTTTTATGTCTTCTTTAAAGCTCGTCTATATTAGTAAAGGTTAAAAATTTCATACTTCTTAGGATTTTTAGAGGACCAACATATAAGACTTCTGCTTTTCTACCCAAGACCTGAAATAACTGAGACAAAGGAGTCAGGTCATCAAAAATGCCAGCCTTGTCATCTGACAGCCTGATAGATCTTTGTAAAGAAAGCTTAGTTAGGGAAACTACAGGCTTCCTAATAACCACCAAATTAGGCATATTTACAAAACTAATCACAGCAAACCTGTAAATAGTAGGATTCTCTTAAGAGTTCAGGGCTATGGCTACCACATTTGCTACATGGCCAAGAACAAATCAGACCTTGTGCTCCCTGAAGGCAGCTAGATGCCAGAGGGTAGAAAGAGAGAGGGGCAAGCTAGCTATATATGCAGACGCACCTCCCTCTTCCTAATACCAAGGGAAGTTGGGCAAACAGAAGCCAAAAGTGAATAATAATGAAGACTCTTTGAAAGGAGAAAGGGGTAAAAAGGTTCTCCCATAACAATGCCGAATTGTATTTCACAGAAAAAAATATCGCTTTCTAAGATGGGTATTCCCTTGGGGAAAGTGGCAAATTCAGCCTCCAGAGGTCTGACCTTACAAAGCCAAGAAAAAAGTGACAGAAATATCCTATTAAATGACCTGAATAATTGCCACTTCTCACTGCTTCATTTTGCCACTGGAAGACAATAAAATGGGCCCTACCTGGTTAGTTTCTCTTACATTATGAAAAAAAGGCTAGGTTCCAGAAAGATGGTTTTATCACATTCATATCATTGAAATGAGCTCTGGAGAAATGTGTTTTATAATTCTATGTTTAATTCTTTATGTGCTATTATCCCTCTCTCTGTAAACACAGCCAAGCCTAATCCCCAGAAACACAGTTTTTTAAAAAGCTAACCACGAATGTCATATGAAATGAATGCCAATATTCACAGTATGTGAATCCAAGTTCAAAATTCTTATCTTTCAACGAGTCTAGGAAAATCCTGATGGGTTGCTAGACTATTTTTTAAACCTCCTCTGGAATCTTTTCCAACTTAAGTTCCAAGTATGAAAAGACACCCAATCAGTTCCAAAACACTCCAAGACTTTGAAAAATCATCACTATAATGGACATTTTCACTCTATTTCTGTCAGTGATGAACAGTATGATTATGGCAGGCTCTTTGATCTTTGTTACTGTGTTTTCTATAAGCAGAGACCCTGACAGGCGATATCTCATTAAATCTTCCCTTCTTTCTTTTTTCCTTTTTTCCTCACTATGTTTTCTCAAAATAGTGCTGTGTAGCTGACATTTCTTTGAGAAGGTACTTTATCATTCTTTGTTTTTATTTAGAACATTCATGTTTGTGAATCCATCAGTTATTCCTCCCCTACTATGTGCAAAGAACTGTGAGCTGTGGGTGGGAAAAAATTCTATAATCTGACCACTGCCCTCAAGGTGTTTATAACATAAGTGGAAAAATAACAAGTAAAATCTGACATATGAGAACCTAATCCATGATATTGAAATCCACTCACATACATGCAGAACCAGGCTCTAATAATACACTGATAGTTCAAATATTTGACACTTCTGATGGCCAGGTGTTTTAACTAGCCTCAAATTATCATCTCTCAGATCTTCAAACCAGGAATTTCTCTTTTGTTAAATGATATTGTGGCATAACATCCCAAAATTAAGTTTGATTTTTAATTGTCATATCCTCTTAAGACATTTATAACTAAGTCATTGTGTGTTTAAATACGATTTCAGTAATTCTGCTTTTCTGTTAGAATTAGAGTTTCCCCCTTTATAACTGAAATGAACGGAAGATGAACTCATTTTAAAAATTAAAGGTTTCTAATATTTTCATTATGAATGTATTTCTTCATTCATTTAAAAAATGCAACTATTTGAAAATAAGCACCTTTCACATATGTTGAATAGATAATTGCTGATAATTATAGTAAGTATAGAATAAAAGATAACCTTCAGAACTCAAACTGGAGACTCTTCACAAAACGATTACGTAGAGAAACCCACTATGCTCTCTTCTTATAAAGAAATGACTTTCTTGTCTAAGAACTAAGATGCCTGATTTAAGAAATCTTATTATTCAAGCAGGAAGAGTTAATAGATCAGCAAAGAAAGGTTGTCGCTTTGTGGAGTGCAACATGATAATTCATAACTACGATAAAAGCAACTGCACTTACAGAGCTACATTACATATAGAATTAGAATGAATGCTTTTTTATCATAGTTATGAGTTATCACATTACACACTATAAAATGTCAACCTTTTTTGGTAATCTATTAATCCTTTTTGCTTGAATAATACTACCTATATTACAGGATGAGAGAAGAAAAACACTGAGATGTAAAAAGAGACATTAACCTTGATATGTATTTTTCACAATAAACTTAGAAAATTAAGGGATTAACTTAGAAATATCTCAAAATAATCATATCATTTAAGCACTACTTAAAATTTGTCAGGCTATGAAAGATGGAAAACATTAGTACATTTAATCATTCATTTGAGTAAGAGAAATGATGACTAGCTGGGGCATTTGAAAATAAATATATGAATCCAAATAGACAATAAGGGAGAATAATTTATCAAACTTTGCCCTTTTGAAGCGAATTCACTGCAATTTTCTAAGAGCTTTTAACACTTTATTTACTTTCTAATAACACTATCTAAGGACTGAGAGAAAAATTTATGTTACTAATATGTTTATTCTGCATACCAAATATTATATAGAAAAATAATGAGTATTAAATGTATAAATATTAAGGTTGATTGATCTAGTTAATACTTTGATGATTTGAACTGGTTTTATAAGTATTCTCTTTGGAAGGGTACTTATTAATATGGTTTTAGCATACCTGGGTTAAAAAGAAGAAATGACACTGCCAATTTGAATGATGTTTTTTCTAATTACAGTTTCCATCTATGCCTCCAGTAATAAAATTAGAAGTTCTGGAGAGAAATTAATGATGTAAATAACAACCTTCCTTAATGGATTTTGCTAAAATAAAGTCAGCTTATTTAAAGGATGATTAGCTAATTGTAAAGAAAGGCATTCCAAGAAAAAGTATAAAAATTGAATTGATCCATTACTAGCACAAATTACTGATGATCAAGATACTTTAACACAAGATAAAGTAAAAAGTTACAAGTATGTTAAGACGTTTTTGGAGAAGAGTTTCACATTGTTATTCTAAATCAACTTTTACTTATATATTTCAGTAAAAAAAATTCTACAGTGCCCCCAGGCAAGTGCACAATTTTACCAGTAAACTGCTTTATTATATTTCTTAATGATGTCAAGTACTATATTTCTGTTAGGTAACTCCTGCTTCTATTTTCATGACTCTTAAAGACACTTAAACTTTTTTATTATTGCTGTTGCCACTGCTGCTATTGTTTATAGACTATCTTCATATGAGGGCCATAATTTCTCATTGATCTGACTTATGCAATTTAAACTGTATTATTATCTGAACATTTCCTCCAAAGTGGGTTTTTCCAGAGACATAATTATTCCTGTTACCTCCTTCGAGTTCATCAACATTCCCTTCCACTGGCTGAAACTTTCTCAGTACAAGTGGCCAAAATTGAAACTATACCTCTGTAATCATAAGAGAATGATCTGTACCTGTGGGCTTTAACAGATTTGTACTGTTATAGGCAACTCAAAAGATGTACTTTACCAACCCCCAAAGTCAAATGCTTATTTTTAATTTTTTATCCAGTACCAACGATTATTCATCTAGAAAACTCTCCATCATTACTGCTTTCCAGATTCCTTTCTCTTGCTGAATTACTAGCATTTTATCATATTTTCCAGATGGGTTCATTTGCATTTTTAAGAAATAAATTTCACTCTGTAATTTATTGCCTATATATTGTCATCTAAAGTTGTTTATACAGCTCGAACTCATATTTGCATTTGTAGATTAATAATTTGTTTTAAACATAACTGACAATAAATTTTATTATGCTGTTGATTCTCTCACATAAATGTTAAGACTACACAACTTTGAAGTCCAAAATGTAAGTATTTGCATACCTGATGCTTTGCAATCTTGCCTTAAGTTTGACACAACTTGAAGGTCTCAGAAAGCTGTATCAAGTACATTTTAACTGGAAATACAAATATGCCAGGTACAAGGGAGGAACATAGAGGAGGTGCTGGTGATTGCAAAGATTTGCATCAGATATTTCGAGATAACCTTTCATACTGGCCCTGTCCCCAGGGAAGCAGGACAAAGTTCCTCTACACTAATTTTTCCTCTTTGTCCTCTTTGAAGAGTTCTGTGCTTTCTGGACCAAGTGATCAATGCCATTGGTGTTTAGAGTGCTATCATAGATTATTTTGGCCTGGCCTACAAACACAACTTATTTTATAGTTAATTTATACATTGTGTATTGAGCACCAACTGATTGCTATGTACAGCCTTTTTAATGAATGAACAAGAACATGAGTAGTGCCCTTAACTCGCTCATTTTCCAGGGAAAAAGCTGATATTTAAACTAGGAAATTCCAATACTAAAGAGACACATGCAGGATATATAGAACTTAACTCTACCTGAAATCAGTTCCAAACTCCAAACAGTTCATTTATAAACAAGTTTTTTGAAACAGTAACTCATGAGTCAGATACTATTTCTCTAAATATACCACAATATCATACATGAAAGTGAATTTTGCAATCTAACTTAAAAACTATACAAACTCCAAAATCATTTTATTAACTCTGCTTAGGACTTTTCACAAGGAGTCTGAGTATAAAATATAGCAAATAAAACATTAATTATTTAGTTCCTTTTGTTTGCAAAATAGAAAAAAGTACACGAGGAAAAATAGTTTTACTCAGATGGTAAACAGTGAAAGATCAATGTTTTATTCCTGTGGTTGTCTAATCTTGTTTTCTATTTTTCAGTCCTTTAGTCTGCACCATTCTCATGGCTTTTTTTCATCATTCTCACCTGATATGCATTCCCAGGCCTGACTAAGGATATGAACTGTCATTATTTTAAGCATTTCACTGAAAATGTTTTAGCTTCCCTGAGGCATCATGCTGCATCAACAGTTCAATAAACCTGCCAAATGTTTTACTTACTTTGAAGGAAAAACAAGTTAAGAAATATTAAGCACTTAATATTTTGTGGATTTATATGAAGTGACTCTCCAGTAGGAATAAATGTCAAAAATGGAATCTTTTCTCACAATGTCAAGTTCAGCCAGATACAATATTTTTGTAGGCCATTTTAATACAGGGATACATGCCATTAATCCTTAGATTATATTTGACTCCTGTTTTACCATGAATGATTTTATTCTATTTTATTAGTAAGGCACAATGGAACTGAAATTTTTCTCAAATGTTAATACTGAAACAGAAGCACCAAATGGCAGATACAGCCCTATATAAC
Organism: Homo sapiens; assembly: GCF_000001405.40. Taxonomy (NCBI): domain Eukaryota; kingdom Metazoa; phylum Chordata; class Mammalia; order Primates; family Hominidae; genus Homo; species Homo sapiens. The sequence goes on from NC_000006.12 coordinate 104,175,067, forward strand.
CACAATTCATTGGAGGGAGAGGTACGGAAGTCCTCTGATGATATATTTAGAAATATAACTTTATTCATTTTAAAACAAAATATAAAAATGAAGGTTATTCATGGCTAATGAACATAAACTGCATGTGAGAAGTAGACTTCCAAAGATTCAAAAAAGAATACAATTTACAAAAGATGTTTTTAAAATAATTATTTAAATTACTTTCTTTTAATATACCAAGTTTGATTTAACTAAAAATCTGAGTTAAATATCAAAGCAAGAGTGGACATTATTTCTGTAAGCTACTAAGAAAAACACTTACACTGAAAAGTTGTCCTGGGACTCGTTAGCAGGTCTGTGATATACTTAAGCTTACATAGAAAGAATGCAGACAGAAATTCAGAATGAGATAATTATTCATGTTCGGGATAATTTTTCTCAGTTATAACCTATTCATACATTTAAAGCTATAATTTGAAACAAAGATATAATATCTTATACCATGCATCCAGTTGAAAGGAAAATAGCTTATGATTTATTTACATTCTCCTTTCTAAAAGAGCAAATACAATTCATTTCAAAACACCATACTGCATTTCTAATAAACTATATTGATTAGATTTCTTATTCCTTTCAGAAAGATAACAAGGCAGTCAAGAACTACAGGGAAAGACAAGGAAGTAGAAGGAAATTCAGCAAGATCAACTTTGGTGCTACTTTTCACCTGGAGGTACCTGACCATTTCAGAAGAGGGAGGTGAGAGGCTAAGCAGCTGAACGGAACTTTCAATTGACTCTAAGCTAAAATTTCTACAAACTCATAGGGTTAGAATCACAATATATTGGAGTTCAATCTATAAATTTCAAGATGTGCCATCCTCATCAAGAAGTATAAATACAAGCAAAGACTCCTAGGCACACTGTGGTAGTGACTGAAAAGCAAAAACCAAAAATTTTAAAAGCAGCTACAAAAAAGATATATTACCTTTAAAGGAGAGTCAATCAGACTTACACCTAGCTTCTCAACAAAAAACAGTGGATGCCAGAACATAATAAAATAACTTCAAGTTGCTAGAAGGAAATAAATACAGATATTAATTCTATACCACGAAAAATACCTTTCAAAAATGAAAATTAAAACAGAGACATTTTCCGATAAAGAAACGCTGACAGCATTCATTATCAGTAGGCCACAATAAATGAAATATTAAAGGCAATTCTTCAGGCAGAAGAAAAATAATGTTAGTTGAAATAAGATGCAGGTGGAAATGAAGGACAAGGAAAAGGGGGAATAAAATAAATACCAATAATATTTATGGAATTAAATAATAGTAATTATGTTTTATGAGTCTTTTTTAATTTACAGAGAATTTTAATACTTGATGTTTATAGCCCATAACTTGAACAGAGGGGTAGTGATGCTAAAACATTTCAGAACTTTTGCACTCTCAAGGAAGGGGTAAGAGTACAATTTAGAATAGTCATTGGTAAGTCAAGGAGGTATTTTGTCCTGGAGCAACCACAATAATAGTTGTAAAACAGCATAAAAAATATGTAACTAACTGGGCGCGGGGGAAAATGTAGAATAACAAAATACTATTTTTAAGAGACATACCTAAAAGAATTTTCTAAAAAGTTGAAAATAAAAGCTTGGACAAGTGGTACAGGATGATTTGTTAAACAGCACGTGATGAATACTAACAATAATGGAAAGAATTAATAAAAGGCATTATATTAAAATTAAGAACTTCTGTTCACCAAAAGAAATCTTTAAGAGAGGAAAGGCAAACCAGAGCAGTGAAAGTTATTTGCAAAACTTATCACTGATAAAATGCTCATATCTTGAATATTTAAAAACTTAAATAAGGTTTACAAACCAACAGAAAAATGGGAAAGATAATTTAATAGATACAACACAAAATGCAATATCCACATGACCATTAGACACACACAAAAAGTTTATTTTATAGTCTGTTGTCAATTAAACATTATCTGTACTCACTTTTAAGTTCTCTTCTGCATCACAAAAACAGAAGTCAAGGACTACATTTTTGAGAATCCCCTTTCCCCTATGGTTCTAGTATAGAGTTTGCCAGTATAAAGCACTCACATTAAAGTTCAAAAGTGGAAGAGGAGGCAAAGCCAGAGGACCAGAAGCGTGGGATGATATTTACAGGGGCTGCATGGGGAACTCTTGACAAAAACTCCTAGGTATATACTCGACCAAACTTAATGTATACATGCACCAAACTACATGTACAACAATGTGTATAGCAACATTGTTCATAATGAAATAATCCAAATGTCTATCCATCCTGACTGATAAATATATTGTGATTTACCCATAAAATGCAATACAACAGTAAAAATAACTGAACTCTAGATGTATGTAACAAGTACTGTGTCTAAAGATAAACATGTTTGAAACAAACTCCATTTTTAATTTTTTAAGATGTATTACTGATAGAATCAGATGTGATGAAACATCTACCAAGAGAACCAAATAAGATAAGGGAGGCTATTTTTTTTTTATTCCTTCCATATCTTTACACTTTGCTTCTAGTCTCTAAATTCCACTCAGTTCAATAATATAGGTAAACCATATTAAATACTTATGTGTCACTCTCTGCATTAAGAACCGTATGTAGAAAAATCTAATTCAATCCTGATAAAGATCCTATGAGATAAGCACTCTTATCCCTGATGAGGAAACTGAGGCATGGCAACCTTAACTAATTTACCAAGTCCCATAGCTAGAAACAGTTAAAGCCAGGATTCAAACCCAACACCTTGACCAGAGAGACTATGACCTACACTCCAGTCAAGCTCTGAAGTATTCCTCAAAATCTGTTTCCCTCCAAGCTCTCAATCCAGTCTGTCTGAATTTCTAAAAGCCTCCTATAGTCTCTCTGTGTTCATCACTCTTCTCCAACCCACTATCCATCATGTTACATGATACCTTTTGAACACCTTCACTAATTGCTGTCTAAGTCTACTGTTGTCTTTTAAATCTCTAACAGACAACATTATCAGGAATAGTAAGAAATGTGGCATTATTCATGAAAATTATTTTGCGTTGAATTATATAATTCCATCTATTTAGTTTAATTGTATTAGCTAATATACTTGTGAATTTAGCTTTAGTAAATAGATTTACAGGTATACTTGCCTTTTTAAAATTGTTTTCTGTTCCAATGCCATGGTTCACACCTGTAATCTCAGCACTTTGGGAGGCTGAGGTGGGCAGATCACCTGAAGCCAGGAGTTTGAGACCAGCCTGACCAACATGGAGAAACCCCATCTCTAATAAAAATACCAAAAAAATTAGCTGGACATGGTAGTGCATGCCTGTAATCCTAGCTACTGGGGAGGCTGAGGCAGAAGAATTGCTTGAACCCGGGAAGTGGAGGTTGCTGTGTGCCAAGATTGTGCCATTGCACTCAAGCCTGGGCAACAAGAGCAAAACTCCATCCCAAAAAAAAAAATTGTTTTATTTTATTTTCTGAAGCTAAAAGCACATCACCTGTATCCTACAAAAAAATGCCTTTATAACTCTGCTCTCTTTTTTATGTTTTTAACCCATCTACTTCTAAGAAGATTTGAGAGGGTTATCACGCTAATGTAGCTATATAGTGGGGCAACCTAGGAGAAAAAATGTTATTATGCGTTGCTTACAACTGAACACTGGGTATACCTCTGACCACATCTCCAGGTAGGACTCCTCAAGTTATAGGGATGAAGGTTGAGTGAAAATTCTGATAGTAAAGAACCAGCAGCACTTTAACTTAATTGCAGATTGCAGAATAAACTCTACTTGTCGATATTACTAAAAAGGCTCTTTACCTTCTGGTCCCAAACCTACCTATGGGCCTTTTCTCTACTCTACTTTCTATACTGCTACCTCCTCTTTGGCCCGGACTGCTACAATGGCATCCTAATCCCTCTCCTTGCTTCCACTCTTGCCCCTCCTACAATCAGTTCTCTTCACAGTAAATGGGGTTATCCTTTAAAGGCATGAAGCTCATAAGGCCGCAGCCTTGCTCAAAGCCCTGCGATATTTCCCAGCACATTTAAAATAAAATTCAAAATGTTTTCAATGGTCTTATAAGCTTGGATCTCTCTGACATCATCCTCTACCACCTGCTCCTTGCCATTGCTGGGGAATACCAACCACACTCCTACTTCAGTACCTTTGCATTTGCTGCTCCCTCTGTCTAAACTCTTCTTACATCAAGTATTTGTATCCCTCATTTGTCTCCAGAGAGATTTCCCTTAGCTCTCCTGTCCACTAAAACAGCAGTCCCTAATTTTCTGGCACCAGAAACCGGTTTGGTGGAAGACAATTTTTCCTGGGGTAGAGGGTGGAGGGCATGGTTTTGGGATGGAACTGATCCACTCTGATTATCAGGCATTAATTAAATTATCATAAGGAGCATGCAACCTAGATTGTGAACTCACAGTGCAGTTCACAATAGAGTTCATGCTACTATGAGAATCTAATGCCACTGCTGATCTGGCAGGAGGCAGAGTTCAGGTGGTAATGCTCACTCACCCACCGCTCACCTTCTGCTGTGCCACCCGGTTCCTAACAGGCCAGAGATGGGTTAGGGATCCCTGCAATAAAACATTCCTCATAATTCCCCATGCCCTTGCCCCACTTCACTTTGGCTTCTAGCACATTATCACTCTCTAACATTATATTATCCATTTGATAATGTTTTCATAGCTTTCTGTCCTCTTTGGAATGTTAGCAGGAGCTTTCTTTCTCTACTATCAAATTCCAAGCACCCAGAAGAGTGCATAGTACTCAATAAATTTTAAATGAACAAATAAGTAATGAATATTTGAATGGGGCTTATGACTTACCTACTGGAAAACCCTATTGTCTTTAGACAAAGACATTCTAGGTCTCTCACAAGGAAGCTCAACCTACCTTCTAGTATTTTTACACAGGCTTCTTACTTTGCAACCTGCAGGGTTACTCTAGATTGCTTGCTCTTTCCTAATATGCTTTGAGATGCTGTGTCTCTACACCTTTCCTTAAAATAACTCCTCTTCCTAGAAACCTCTATATCTGCTTCTCTACTTAATGAAATTCTACTCATCCATCAAGATTTACCTGGCAGGGTGCGGTGGCTCATGCCTGTAATCCCAGCACTTTGGGAGGCCAAGGCAGGCGGATCACAAGGGCAGGAGATCGAGACCATCCTGGCTACAGTGAAACCCCGTCTCTACTAAAAATACAAAAATAATTAGCCAAATGTGGTGGGGAGTGCCTGTAGTCCCAGCTACTGGGGAGGCTGAGGCAGGAGAATGGCATGAACCCAGGAGGCAGAGCTTGTAGTGAGCCCAGATCGTGCCACTGCACTCCAGCCTGGGCAACAGAGCGAGACTCTATCTCAAAAAAAAAATAGATTTGCCTAAACTATCATTCCTTTGCAAAACTTCCCTGGCAAAAGTTTATCTTCAATGAGGAACAAATATGGTCTTAATTGCACAGTACCTATTAATAGATGCCAAAAAATCAATTATGTTTTAAATGATGTTCAATTTGCTTCAAGTCCACCTTTGGCCAGGTGTCTTAGTTTTGTGTTGCTACAACAGATTACAACAGACTGGGTAGTTTTTAAAAAGAAAAATTAATTTCTCACAGTTCTACAGGCTGGGAAGTCCAATACCAAGGTGCTAACATCTTATGAGGGCTTTCTTGCTGCATCATCCCATGGCAGAAGATGGGAGAGCAAGAGTATGCAAGAGAGGGCAATAGAGGGCCAATCTCTTTCTCTTATTAAGAGCCCACTCCCACAGAAACCCACTTCTGTAATAGTGGCATTAATCTATTCATAAGGGACTCTGCCTAATCACCTCTTAAAAGTTACACCTCTCTATACTGTTGCACTGGCGATTAAGTTTCCAACAGATGAATATTGAGGGACCCATAAATACCACAGCACAAGGGTAGTAGCACATTCCTTCTCAATCATTGCTGAGGTTTTCTCAGGATTATAAATGAGGGTCTTGGCATTTTAACAAGAGATCATTTGTGGAAGAGCTCTGTAGTCATTTGACCATACTTGTCTCTGCCAACATGCTTATTGCCTAAGCTGGATTTCTCCAGAAAGGGAGTCCAGCTCCAGAACTCCCCAGTTTTGCTGAGACTCACACTTCCAATTTCAGGATGGTTAGTATTCCATGTCTCCAACATAGGGAGAAATTCTTCATCTCATAACCTACATGTAAATGGAGCCAAATTGTCTGCCCTGAGTGGATCCCCAACAAAAAGTCCATAGTTTCTGCCATCCTCATCCTTATACTTAGTCTCAGAGATTTTTCAGGTATTTCACTTTTACTCAGGTCTAGCCCTAAAATCAATACTCACGTCTATCTTTTCCTCTGTCTAGGACGTTCAAATACATTTTAATTAGCCAAATCAAAACCAATAGGGAGCAAATACTACAAAAGAGCCATGACACCTTCTTGAGATGTGTGAGAAACTATAAAGCAGTAAGAACAAAGTAAAAATTAACATCTCGAGAAATTATCCTTGCTACCCGGTGCTAAATAAAAGTGATTTTTTTTAAGTCAGCTAATTCTAGACACACAATAGAGACCAAAAAGAAAAAAATCACTTAGAAGTACATTTCATTTGGCTAAACTGCTTCCCCACTTCTGCCTAGCTACTTTGGAAGCACAAAAGTTACCCCTTTCCATCCTTTGCCCTTCCCTGGTTGGTACATCTAGTTACGAGATAGACGGGCACCACTTAACAAATCACTCCCTTTTGACTACAGGTTGTTTCTCTTCCATATTTGATGAGGCTGGCAACGGCTCCCGAATCTTGGCCTAGCACATCACAAATTGGGAAGCTAAAGCTTTAGCTTAGAATGCCAAGTGACAAGGACATGGCTGAAGCAGGAGGGGCAATTCTGGAACAAGTGCCTCTGGGCAAACCTCACAACCGAGGTTTTTAAATTAGTGGTCATTTTCTAGAACTAGAGAACACATTCAGGACAAACAGTTCTGATGGGAGAGGGAATGGCTATGAGTACATAGAGATCAGGCTGTGACCGTGACCATAACTTGTACTCATCCAGGACCTGACAGATCTTTGATTAGGCAAACATTGAGTTTTAAAGAGGCTGTCAAGTTGAGGCCACTTGGTCCATTAGCTGGTGCAGTAAGATCACTACTCAATGTTTTTACACTGTCACAAGATTGTTCCTCTAGTAGAATAATGCCCTAGTTTCTCTGAGATGATGGAAATGGCATGATGTTACCTAAGGCTTAGGCTTAGCTTGATTTCTGGGCCCACTGTGTGTTCTTAAGATGCCAACCTGTTGGTTTTGTTTTTAATTTTTTTTTCCATTTAAAAGGATAGTACCTACTCCCTCTAACCACCTCATCCCATTCTTGAATGACGTTTTATCCTTCGGAAAGAACAAGGCTGTGATGTAGTGACTATTGTCTGTGTCTCCTGTGTGTGTCTGTTCTTGTCATAAGTGTATATGGGGACGTTGGATGCATTCATTTTCTGTAATAAAGTTTCTTAATCACTCTTTCCAAAAAAAAAAAAGAAGTACATTTCATTATTATATTACCATTCTACTTCAGCACAAATATAAGGCAGGTAGGAAACACCCATAAATATTGAATGCTGCCCTTCGCTGTGACATTGGCATAATTTATTGGAAAGTGGGTACGAAAGTTTATGCAAGGAAATAAAGGTGCCTATTGAGAAGGAAGTACCAGAGAACTCAATTACTTTTTCAGAAGAGTCACAATTATGGAAATTTAGTTGGACAAAGTGACTCCAACTAATTTCTGATTCAAAATTCTCATTGGGCAATGACCATGAGGGAACGAGGAGTCTATGCTACTGACTCAGCACAACAGCCAAGCATTTCATGGAAGAAGGCCAGTTCCCTGAGCACATGAAGTTGACCCAGTCAGCTAGAAAATAGTGGCTAAGCTTGAAGATGAACAAAGTTCTCTCATCTTGAATTCCAAGGATGGGTGCATTGCCACAGCCTGTTCAGAAGTCTGTTTCAGTGAGGCATCACAAAGGTATGGAAAAGTATTCATCCGACTCCAAAGAAACAGTGTTTAATGGTGACATCACATTTTAGCAACCAAAAAACACAATCAGATTTCATAATTCAGACATACGTCTTTTGCCTATATAAACTTCAAGATGCTTGAAAAATCAGAAAGAATACAAGCTCATGAGGGCTTGCACAATAAACTGGAAAAAAAAATAACATGTGATTATATTTTCCCAAAATGATGCAGATGACACTGTTTAGACATGTCTGTATCATCAAATAGACTGAATTCCCTGTGTATCTAGATTGCATTTTTATTCCTTATAATCCTAGTATTTTAAACAGTTCAATAACCTTATTGAAATAATAACTAAATATTTTCCATTCAATATCCTATAATTGATTGTTAAGAGTTTTTAAAACCTATTCATTCCAGTAACCAGACCCTAGATGCACTACTGGGTCTTTTCTTCCATCCCTTATACCTTTCCTCTTCTAATTTTAAAATCCTGGTCTGACTCATCAAAAATACAACAGTATATACAGTTGGTTTTTTTTTTAATCTTATTAGTATATCACCTTTAAATATGAGATTATTTGGGTTTCATTAAAATATTCACAGATACAACAAATTGGATTTTCTGCTGAACATTTAGAAAAGGAATCTGTGTTTTACCTAAATTGTGTCAGTAACTAAAGAGGGAAAACTGTTTGGTCAAAGAAGACTACTCGGTGTTAGTCTCCAGTTCAGTTCTCCTCTGGCATGAGTTAAAGTAGATTTGAAGGAACTGTGTCCCCGCAGACATTGCTCATCCTGGCTCTTGGAAGCACTCATTTGTGTTCTACTTGACTCTAAGCAATCATTTATAAGCAGCCTACTCACAGCAAAGCATCAGTCCTCTCTCATTGCCTCAGATACATTGATCTTTGGGGAGAGGGTGACACAATTGTGAACACAAAGTAAGCAGGCTGTAAAGTGGAAATACATCACCCCCACGAAACACACATAGAAACACATAGGCATCATGTGGGATCTCTATAAATCAGGAAGAAAATCCTTTACAAGCCTCTTTCTACCTGTCAATATCTATCACCCAAAGAACTAGGAAAGCCTTAGGCAAGCAGCAATTACTTCACACTCAGCAGGCTGGCAGGTTCACTGACACCCACCACTGGAACTGATCCCATCTGAATATTATGAATGTCTTCCTTCCAAGCTACCTGATATAAGTGTCTGTCTCTCACCATCTCTGCTCAGATATAGAATGAAAAATGGTCAAAGTTTTAAGCTATTTTTTCATAAGACTAAGTCTGTTTAAGTTATTCTTAAAAGAAGGACTGGCCAGAGGTCCAATGATTTAGCCTCACTTATAATTTCACAAATAAGAAAGTGATCCTGGATTCACAAAACTAAGAAATCCACTTGCTATATCCTGAGGTAAAACTTGTCAGCAGTTTTCCATCAGGACTCACAATTTTTCAGGTCCTAGAGAATCTGTTGGATATCACAAAACTCATGTCAACCCAATAATTGGGAAATAACTGGGCTTATTATAATAGTATCTATTATAACATTTATGGGAGTAGAGTACTACATTCTGATTAATGTCAACTGATTAACAGCTGGGCAGAGGGCTCACACCTGTAATACCAGCACTTTGGGAGCCCGAGGTGGGTGTATCACCTGAGGTCAGGAGTTCGAGACCAGCCTGACCAACATGGTGAAACCCAATCTCTACTAAAAATACAAAAATTAGCCAGGTGCAGTGGTGCATTCCTGTAATCCCAGATACTCAGGAGGCTGAGGCACGAGAATCACTTGAACCCGGGAGGCAGATGTTGCAGTGAGCCAAGATTACATCACTGTACTCTAGCCTGGGTGACAGAGTAAGACTCTGTGTCAAAAAAATAAATAAAGTCAACTGATTAAAAAACACATTTGCTATTGTCACCTTTTTTACGGGTATCTCCTATATTTTCTTACTTATACATGGCTCTCCCTTGATGATACCATTTCACTTGCAGTTAACTTTAGAGCAGACCTGCCCATTTTGCTACAGCACAAATAACACATTTAGGCTTTGGTAGGATGGAAAAATCAACCATCTATTTTCTCAGGATTATCACTTTCACACCATTGCTTTTTCACTTCCATAAAGTGGAATATTGTAAAATGGAATACATATTTTTGATGATTTCATCTACACGTACCAGCTTCTACTTGACTGATAACTATCTCGCCTTTATCAAAAACTTGGACACTGAATCAGGGGTGTTTTCTCCTGCCATAATTCTAGGTGATAGGATTTTTTTTTCTCAAGATGGTAGATTGAAGGCATCGTTAGCCTGCCTCTCCCACTTGGAAAGACAAAATAATGTATACCGACTCATGTTGTGAACATTTTTTCCAAGACGCAGCACAGGCACTTAACAGGAAAACTGAAAGAAACCACAGACCCTTTGAAAGAAGTAGAAGGCTCCAGCTTACACTGTGAGCCAGGCAGAAAACTCTAAGTCCCAAGAGTGTGAGAGGGGAGAGACTGCCTGTGGGATATACACTCCCACTGGGAAAACTGACCATCCAGGCCTTCAGAAGAATGCTTTAACCCTACCCTGTGCAGGAGCTGATTTAGTGAGTGGTGGGGACTATATGAGAAGGAGTTGACAGGGACAGGAGACAGGGAAATTCTGGACAGAAAAGGTCCCTGGTGAGGGCCCCACCCTCAAGCCAAAAAGCCTGAAACCACCTCCCAAAGTGAGACCTTACATTCCTGTTGTCCTGCTCAAATGTTGCCTTTTCCAAAACCACCCATTGCCAGCCCTGCACCCTCATGCAGTGCCCATAAAAAACCCAGGCTCAGCCAGAAGAGAGGAGAAGCAGCTGGACATCACAGACTATGGCTGGACGTTGAAGAAAAGTGGCTTAACTTCAGAGAGACAGGTTAGAGGCATAACTTCAGAGAAGAATCCGGCCAGGGACAGCCAGACCTCAGGGGAAGATTATCTTCCCAACATATCTCCGTTAAAGCTCCTCTTCCCACTGAGAGCCACCTCTATCGGCAAAACAGTCTCCCACATTTACCATCCTTCGATTTGTTTGTGCAACCTCATTTCTCCTGGATGCCAGACAAGAATTCGGGAACCATGAGTGCAGATGCAAAAGGCTGTCACACTGATTCTTTGCCCTTGCTGGTGGAAGGCAGCTGCCTCACGTGAAAATGTAGAGGGTCCACTGAGCTGTTAACACTTAAGCTGTCTGCAGGCAGCCAAGCTACAAGAGCACTGTAACATGCCCTCTGGGGCTTCAGGGGTCATCTCCTCCCAGATGCTGCCACAGGGCCACTATGGAGGTGTATCCGGCCGGCACCTGAACTCTTGCACCCACTCACCTGCATACTTCCTCCCACAAGTCATGGAGCACAGCGGGTCCGAGTAAGTGAAGTTCACCTCTGCTGGTGCTGGAGTGGCCAGCTCACTCCAGCAGTTACGTACTCCAGTTCACACCTCTTTCACTCACATGCTTCCTCATGTGAAGAGTTGAGAGTACTTGTGAAGGGGGCACCCCCTTCACAAGTCTTGTAAAGGGGGCACCCCCTTCACAAGTCCTGTGAAGGGGTCAGGGAAATATCCTGCTTCAGAGTGGCATCAGCACATTCTTTGCATGTGCTCTCAGACTCCAGTGGAACAGAGGGAAGCCCATCCTGATCCTACCTTACAGGGAACTACAGAAGCCAGCCAGCTAACCCAGGCAGCAGTCACAGGTTGAGAGAAGTTCCTAATTAGGATTCCCAATATAATCTTGAGTGAAGATGAACCCCTTTGGCCAGATCCAATGGGCAAGAGGGAAGTATGCTACAGCCACAGGCACAGGAGGTGGATGCCCCTGCTTCATGGGCAGACCAGGAGGGGTGTGGCCTGAAAGCCACGGTTTCCACCTCGGGCAGTTTTGAGTTCTGAGCACAGACTGCTTGGAATCCATCTAGCTGCTGCTAGTGGAATGTTATGGCTGTCAGACCTGCCTTGCCAGCTACAAGGGAGCCGGATAGAGCATATTGCCACCTGCTACTCCCCACTACCCCCCAAAATTCTTTTGTACAATGGAGGTAGCTGCACTCCTCCCTGGAACATTACCCCAGGGGTCAGAGAACTGCACTCTGATCCCCATTGAGACAGCTGCTTGTGCCTGCATGAAGGGAACCAGGGCATGGACTTACCTGGCCCAGCCCTAACCTGGCTTTGCCCCTCCACCTACCTTGGTAATTTAACACAACAGACAGAAATTTTGGGGAGCTCCATGGCCTTTACCATTGACTGAGACACCAGAGTACCTCCTCAGGGAAACAAAAGGCAAGCACAAATCCCACTGCTACCACTGGAGCGGGTGCTCCTTTGCAAGTGCAACCCTCTGGCTGGAGCCCAATTTAGACAGTTCATTACAACATCTCCAGGCAGAATAACACAGTGCCCATAAAGGACAAAGCTTTTGCATGATCTCAGCTATCACCATTGTCTGCATCACTCTGGCTAACCAGGAGGTCTTGAGTCTCTCCATATGGCCAGTTTGTTACTTCTGCAACTGGCATTTGAGAAAGCCAACACACTAAGGCTATTTATAAGCAAGGAATCTCACAGAGTCTATGTCACTCCCCTGCTCCCCCCATCAGAGCTAGTGCTGGTACCTGCTGCTAGGAGATTTGAAGATAGGTCACATCACTGAATCCCTTGCAGACATTCCTCATCACCAGCCTGGAATGTGGCAGCCCTGCTGGGTGGCTAGACCCAGAGCAACAGCAGCATTCACAGAAATCTGGCCCTCAGGGATTTCTCATCCTAGGGGAAGGGGAAGTGCACCACAAGGGAGCACCCTGTGTGACAAGAGAATCCAGATGCAGGCCCTCAGTCCCAGAACTTCTCTCTTGTGAGAAGTTTCTCTCAGCAGAGAGACAGGGGCATTGCTGGGCTCACTGGGGAAAGTCTACAGCTCTACCCCAATAGACAAGCAGCCTTGATCCTCATGAAGGGTCTTGGAGAAGGAGACTTCTTCTCCCCCTTATCCACCACTGCAAACACAGCTGGAGTTTCTCCCATGGGAGCTCAGTGTGGGGGCAACTGCAGACAACCTTTCTGGAACACTTCATGGTGACTGAAACCCCACAGAAGGAATGCCCTCCAGGTTCAGGCTTGTATGAGAGGGAAAGTCACAATCCCTCACCACGTGGAACGACATCATTCCTGCAGATGAAAGCAGACATCTGTCTGATCTCAATAGCTGGAACACTGCATCGGGAGTGGAAGTAGGAAGAGGATCTCTTTCCTGCTGACCTGGTAGGAGTCGGGAGACTGGTAGGAGAACTGGGATGGCACCCTCCCTTCCCCTTGAAAAGATCTCAATGCATTGTACTTTGAGCTCCCCTGGCCACCTTTGTTATGGCTGAGACATCTGCCCACCATTGGGTATTGCATGTACCAACCTGCTTTAGCCAGCTTTATTTACCATGGACAACATTTAACTGGCCTGAAGCCTAAACTGTTCAATCTAGTGAATAAAATATTGGGGAAAAATATAAATAAATAAGTGAGTGAGTGCACATCACTGGGGAACAACATAAGCTTCATGAGACCTCTGCACTTCTGACTCCACAGGAGACAGTGAACCTACTCACATACCAAACACATCACTACTACAACCAGCAACTGAAAAAAACCATCCTACAAGACTCTCTGTAACCAACAAACTCATAGAGTCTTCAGCACTGAACGCACCCAGAGCCAAATTAGGCTGCAATAAACTATAAACATTATTGTCATATCCTCAACAGGGGAAAGAAATTTAAAAACACAGTCAAATCAAAAATAAATTCAAAAATAATTAGAAATAGTTTACCCAAATGAGAAGGAACCAGAAAAATATTTCTGGCAATATGAAAAAACAGAGTTTATATAACATCCCCAGAATATCATACTAAGTCTCCAGCAATGTACTGAAACCGAGATGAAATTTTTGAAATACCAGATAAAAAATTCTATAGGTTGATTATTAAGTTACTCACGGATATACAAGAGAATTGTAAGAATCAACGTGAAGAAATTTTTTAAAAATTAGGAATACAAACAAAAAATTTTCTAAAGAGATTTTTTTTTAACCTTTTAAACCTTTATTTTAAAGGCAAAAACCTGTTTAACATCTGCATTCAGGAAGCTGTGTTGTCCAGTAGCTCAAAAATAGGCCCGGGAGAAACAGCATTCGGCCCCTAATCCTCTCCACTACCGCCTTCACCATGACCTTGGGAAACATTTTCATGTTTATGTTTCCATATTTTCTCATTTGTAAAACTTGGCTAATCCTACAGAATGGCCACAGGATGTGTATATGGTCAGATGCAGCTTTAAAATCACTCCTGCTGCCCATCTCCCAAATTGTTCTGATTTGCTTACTAAATTTTGACATTTGTGCAAAATGCATACTTTGTGAGTCTTGGAAATTGGTAATATTTAAACTATAGTCTTCTATCTCTCTCCCTCTTTTTTTATTATACTTTAAGTTTTAGGGTACATGTGCACAACGTGCAGGTTTGTTACATATGTATACATGTGCCACGTTGGTGTGCTGCACCCATTAACTCGTCATTTACATTAGGTATATCTCCTAATGCTATCCCTCCCCCCTCCCATACCATTCAGGACATAGGCATGGGCAAGGATTTCATGTCTAAAACACCAAAAGCAATGGCAACAAAAGCCAAAATAGATAAATGGGACCTAATTAAACTAAGGAGCTTTTGCGCAGCAAAGGAAACTACCATCAGAGTGAACAGGCAACCTACAGAATGGGAGAAAATTTTTGCAATCTACTCATCTGAAAAAGGGCTAATATCCAGAATCTACAATGAACTCAAACAAATTTGCAAGAAAAAAACAAACAACCCCATCAACAAGTGGGCGAAGGATATGAACAGACACTTCTCAAAAGAAGACATTTATGCAGCCAAAAGACACATGAAAAAATGCTCATCATCACTGGCCATCAGAGAAATGCAAATCAAAACCACAATGAGATACCATCTCACACCAGTTAGAATGGTGATCATCAAAAAGTCAGGAAACAACAGGTGCTGGAGAGGATGTGGAGAAACAGGAACACTTTTACACTGTTGGTGGGACTGTAAACTAGTTCAACCATTGTGGAAGTCAGTGTGGCGATTCCTCAGGGATCTAGAACTAGAAATACCATTTGACCCAGCAATCCCATTACTGGGTATATACCCAAAGGATTATAAATCATGCTGCTATAAAGACACATGCACATGTATGTTTATTGCGGCACTATTCACAATAGCAGAGACTTGGAACCAACCCAAATGTCCAACAATGACAGACTGGATTAAGAAAATGTGGCACATATACACTATGGAATACTATGCAGCCATAAAAAAGGGTAAGTTAATGTCCTTTGTAGGGACATGGATGAAGCTGGAAACCGTCAGCAAACTATCGCAAGGACAAAAAACCAAACACCGCATGTTCTCACTCATAGGTGGGAATTGAACGATGAGAACACTTGGAAACAGGAAGGGGAACATCACACACCGAGGTCTAAAGAGATAATTTAATGAAAAAACAATTAGAACTTCTGGAAATAAAAGACACATTTAGGGAATTACAAAATTCACTGGAAAGTTTTAAAAATAGACTAGACCAAGTAGAAGTAAGAATTTCAGAGCTCAAAGACAAGGCTTTTGAATTAATCCAGTAAGACAATAATAAAGAAAAAAGAATTAAAAGAGATGAACAAAGTCTCCAAGAAATATGGGATTATGTAACATAGGCAAGCCTAAGAATCATTAGTGTTACTTAGGGAGCAAATAAAGCAAAAAGTTTTACCTCAATAATATAACTAGTGTTGTCACTGTAGTACTACAGTCCCCAACTACTATTACCTTGCTATCTATCTTTTTGCTTAGGTCTAGTAGTAATTGTTTTATGAATCTGGGAGCTCTAGAGTTAGGTGCATATATATTTAAAATTGTTAGGATTGATATGTTCAGAAAGTTTTGAAAACTTATTTGAGGGAGTAATCAAGGAAAACTTTCTTGGCCTTCCTAGAAATACAAAAAGCTCAAATAACCCCTGGATGATTAATTGCAAAAAGGACATTTCCAAAACATATAGTCATCAGGCTATCTAAAGGCAACATGAAAGAAAGAATTCTAGGAGCAGCAAGACAAAAGTATCAGGTAACTTATAAGGGGAAAACTATCAGACTAACATCAGACTTCTCAGCAGAAACTTTACAAACCAGAAGGGACTGAAGTGCTATCTTTAGCCCCTTAAACAGAATTAGTGTCAGCCAAGAATATTTTATTCAGCAAAACTACATTTTGGCCAGTTATGGTGGCTCACACCTGTAATCTCAGCACTTTGGGAGGCAGAGGCAGGCGGATCACGAGGTCAGGAGATCGAGACCATCCTGGCTAACACGGTGAAACCCTGCCTCTACTAAAAATACAAAAAATTAGCTGGGCATGGTGGCAAGCATCTGTAGTCCCAGCTACTCAGGAGGCTGAAGCAGGAGAATGGCATGAACCCGGGAGGCGGAGCTTGCAGTAAGCTGAGATCACGCCACTGCACTCCAGCCTGGGCAACAGAGCAAGCCTCCATCTCAAAACAACAACAACAACAAAAACTACATTTTATCAATGAAAAAGAAATAAAGCCATTTTTAGGCAAGAAAATACTGAGGGAATTTGTCACTATCTGATCAGGCATATAAAACGTACTAAAAGGAGTTCTAAATCTTGAAACAGAAGATTGATAGGTTGATATGCAGCAGAATAGAACCTCCTGAAAGCATAAAATTCACAGGGCCTAAAAAACAGTAACACAATGAAGAAAATGAACTAGGTAACAATTAACTATCTGACTGGAAGCATACCTCACATCTTAATATTAACATTGAATTTAAATGGCCTGAATGCTCCACTGAAAAGATACAGATTGGCAGAAAGGATAAAAAGTTATAAACCAAATATCTGCTGTTTTCAAGAGACACATCTAACATAAGGATTCTTACAGACAAAAAGTGCAGGAGTAGGAAAAGATATTCCACACAAATTTAAACCAAAAGTGAGCAGGGATGCCTCTTCTTATATCAAACAAAACAGTCTTTAAAGCAACAGTAGTAAAAAAAAATAGACAAAAAAAGTCACTATATAATCATAAAAGGGTCAATCCAACAAGAAGATAAAACAATCCTAAATGTATATGCACTTAACTCTAGAGATCCCAGATTCATAAAACAATTACTACTAGACCTAAGAAAAGAGATAGAGAGCAATATAATAATACTTGGGAACTTCGGCACTACACTATCAACACTAGATATATTATTGAGGCAGAAAGTTAAAAAGAAACACTGAACTTAATCACACTGTAAAATAAATGGATACTTACAAAACAGTCTACCCAAGAAACATAAAATATACACTCTTCTCTTCGGCACATGGAACATTCTCCAAGATAGATCATATGATAAGTATCAAAACAAGTCTCAATAAATTTTAAAAATCGAAATCATATCAAGTATCTTCTCAAACCACAGAAAAATAAAACTAGAAATTAATTCCAAAAAGAGCCCTCAAAACTATGTAATACATGAAAATTGAATCTGCTACTGAATGATCTCGGCATTAACAATGAAATTGAGATAAAAATTTAAAATTCTTTGAAATGAATAACAAGGGGATAAAAACCAAGGGGAAACAGCAAAAACAGTGCCAAAAGGAAAGTTTATAGAGCTAAACGCCTGCATCGAACTGTCTGAAAGATCTCAAATTGACAATGTAACACCACACCTCATGGACCTAGAGCGATGAGAACAAACCAAACCAAGAGCTAGCAGAATAGAAATAACAAAGATCAGAGCAGAACTAAAGAAACTTTAATCAAAAAAGACAATACAGAAGATAAATGAAACAACAAATTGATTCTTTGAAAATATAAACAAAATTAACAGACCATTAGCTACATTAACCAAGAAAAGAAGAGAGAAGATTCAAATAACCTCAGTTAGAAATGAAAATGGCGACATTACAACAAACACCACAGAAATACAAAAGATCATTTGAGGCTACAATGAACACATCTATAACACAAATTAGAAAATCTAGAGAAAACGGATAAATTCCTGGAAACATACAACCCTTCTAGCTTGAATCAGGAAGAAATAGAAATCCTGAACGAACAATAACAAGCAGTGAGAATGAATCAGTAATTTAGACAAAAAATGCCAACAAAAAAATGCCCAGGGCTATATGGATTCACAGCCAGATTCTACCACACATTCAAAGAATAATTGGTACCAATCCTGCTTAAATGATTTCAAAATATTGAGAAAGAGGGAATCCTCCCTAACTCATTCTATGAAGCCAGTACCACCCTGATACCAAAGCCAGGAAAGAAGAGAACAAAAAGGAAACTACACGCCAATATCCCTTGATTAACATAGATGTAAAAATCCTCAACAAAATACTAGCAACCCAAATCCAACAGCACATCAAAAAAAAAAAAAAAAATTACCACAATCAAGGGGGTTTCATCCCAGGGATGCTGAGATTGTTCAATATTCAAAAATCAATAAATGTGATTTGTCACACAAACAGAATTAAAAACAAAGCCATATCATCTCAATAGATACAAAAAAATTCAATAAAATCTAGATTTGCTTTACAGTGAAAACATTCAACAAACTAGGCATTGAAGGAACATACCTCAAAATAATGAAAGCCATATATGACAAACCTACAGCCAACATCCCACTGAATGGGGAAAAGTTTAAAGCATTCCCCCTAAGAGCTGGAACAAGACAAACCTGCTCACTTTCACCACTTATATTCAATATACTGGTAGATGTCCTAGCCAGAGCAATCAGGGAAGAAAAAGAAATAACGGGCATCTAAGTTGGAAAAGAGGAAGTCAAACTACCACTATTTTCCAATGATATAATTGTTTATCTAGAAAACCCTGAAGACTCCTCCAAAAGGCTCCTAGATTTGATAAATGAATTCAGTAAATTCTTAGGTTACAGAATCATTGTACACCAATCAGTAGCACTGCTATTAGCCAACAATGAACGAATCACATGATTTGTTCATGAGAATCACATCAAGAACTCAATCACTATTACAATAGCTAAAATATGCCTAGGAATATACTTACCCAAGGAGGTGAAACATCTCTGCAAGGAGAACTACAAAATACTGATGAAAGAAATAATAGATGACACAAACAAATGGAAATACACCCCATGGTCATCGATTAAAAGAATCAACATAATGACAATGAACGTACTGTCCAAAGCAATCTACAGATTCAATGTGACTTCTATCAAAATACTAACACCATTTATAACAGAATGAGAAAAAACAATGCTAAAATTTACATGGAACAATAAAACAGCCTGTGTAGCCAAAGCAATTCTAAGCAGAAAGAAGAAATCTGGAGGCACCATATTACCTGACTTCAAATTATACTACAAGGCTATAGTAAAAAAAAAAAAAAAAAGTACAGTATTGTCATAAAAGCATATACCTAGACCAATGGAACAGAACATGGAACACAGAATTAAAGTCAAATACTTACAACCAACTGATCTTAAGGCATACAATAACATAAGTTGAGGAAAGGACACCCTATTCAAAAAACAATGCTGGAAAAACTGGATAGCCACATGAAGAATAAAACTGGGTCCCTATCTCTCACTATATACAAAAATCAACTCAAGATGCATTAAAGATTTAAAATCTAAGATGTTAAAGCATAAAAATTCTAGAAGAAAACCTAGGAAAAACTTCTGGACTTTGGCCTAGGCACAGAATTTATTACTAAGACCCCAAAAGCAATGTAACAAAAACAATAATAAATAAATAAGACCTACATAAACTAAAATTTTCAGTAATTATCAGAGTAAACAGACAACCCACAGCATGGAAAACTGTTTGCAAACTATATTTGACAAAGTACTAATATTTAGAATCTAAAAGAAACTCAAATCAGTGAGAAAAAAGTATAATCCTATCAAAAAGTGGGCAGATGACATGAATAAGCATTTCTCATAGGAAGATATAAAGAGTTGCCCCTCCCCCCACCCCATGGTATAACTGGTGTACACATATGCACAGAGACTTACAGCCCTGTGCCCACTAGTGCCCCACCCTAGCTGATGAGTGTGCACCCTTCCACTGGCATGTGCAAATGAGCACAAATCCTGCTGTCACAAGACTGAGAAAGTGCTTTGGCTGGCACCACCCCTAAGAGTGCTATGGCCAGTGGCATGGGAATGCCTTGGCCCCTTCAACACAGTAGGTTTCTAACCTCAAGGGGCCAGAGGACTAAGCCGGGGACTCGATACCAGCCACACAGAGTTAGAGCACGCAGCCCAGTAGTGCTGAGCTGAGCCTTGGCCCACGAAAATTTTCCAGATATGAAGTCAGTTGACTGAATTCACATTATACCAAAATCAAGTCACCAGGGGGCATCAAAGTAAATAAAAGCAAAAAAGAAAAACAACAACAACAACAAAACATCCAAAGGACAGCAACTTCAAAGATTGAAGGAACATCAGCCAACACAGATGAGAAAGAAGCACAAGAACTCTGGCAACTCAAAAACACACAGAGTTTTTATACCTCTAAATGACCACAACATAATGACAGGATAACATTCACACATATCAATATTAACCTTGAATTTAAATAGGCTAAATGCCCTCAAGTAAAATGCATGGAGAGAAAGTTGGATAAAGAAGCAAGATCCAATTGTATGCTGTCATCAAGAGACTCATCTCACATGCAATGACACCCATAGGCTCAAGGTACAAGGAGGAAAACATATCTACCAAGCAAACATAAATTGCTGTTCTAATTTCAGACAAAACAGACTTTAAACCAGCAAAATTAAAAAACAAAGAAGGATATAACATCATAGTAAAGCATTCACCTCCACAAGAGGACCCAACTATTCCAAATAAATACACACCCAACATATGAGCACTCATATTCATAAAGAAAGCAAGTGCTCACAGACCTTTGAAGACACTTAGACAACCATACAATAATAGTGGGAGATTTTAACACCTCACTAACAATATCAGACAGATCATTGAGGCAGAAAGCTAACAAAGATATTCAAGACCTAAAGTTGACACTTGACCAAATGGACCTAATAGACATCTACAGAACTCTCCACCCCAAAACAACAGAATATAAATTCTTCTCATCTACACATGGCATACTCTAAAGTCAACCACACAATTAGTCATGAAACAATCCTCAGCAAATTTTTAAAAAACTAAAATTATAACAACTACATGCTCTCACCAACAAAAAAAGAAAACTTCAGTATTCTTAATGAACATAGACACAAAAATCCTCACCAAAATACTGCAAACTGACTTCAGCAGCACATCTAAAACCTAATCCACAACGATCAAGTAGGCTTTATCCCTGATATGCAAGGTTGGTTCAACATATGCAAATCAATAAATGTGATTCATAACATAAACAGAACTGAAAACAAATACCACGTAATTAATAGGTGCAGAAAAGCCTTTTGATAAAATTCAACATCTTCATGTTATAAAGAAAAAGACCCTCAAGAAACAAGGCATTGAAGGAACATACCTCAAAATAATAAGAACCATTTATGGTAAAGCCACAGCCAACATCATACTAAAGAGGCAAAAGCTGGAAGCATTTCCCATAAAAACTGAAAGAAGACAAGGATGCTCATTCTCACCACTTCTATGCCACATAGTACTAGACACCCTGGTTACAACAATCAAGCAAGAAAAGAAATAAAAGTCATCCAAATAGGAAGTGAAACTATCCCTGTTTGCAGACTATATTATTCTATACCTAGAAAACCCCATGATTTCTTCCCATAGCTCTTTGATCTAATTAACACCTTCAGCAAAGTTTCAGGATACAAACTCAATATACAAAAATTAGTAGCATTCCTATACACCAACGACATCCAAGCTGAAAGCCAAATCAAAAATTCAATCCCATTTATAATAGTCACAAAAAGAATAAACCGCCTAGGAATACAGCTAATGAGGGAGGTGAAAGATCTCTATGATGAAAATTACAAAACACTATTCAAAGAAATCAGAGATGACACAAATGGAAAGCATTTCATATTCATGGATAGGAGGGATCAACATTGTTAAAATGTTCATACTGCTCAAAGAAATTTACAGATTCAATGTGATTCCTATCAATTTACCAATGATATTTTTCAGAGAATTAGAAAAAAGCTATTTTAAAATTCATATGGAACCAAAAATAAAGCCCAAATAGCTAAGGCAATCCTAAGCAAAAAGAACCAACCTGGAGACATCATGCTACCCAATTTCAAACTACACTAAAAGGGTACAGTAAACAAAAGAGTACGGTACTGGTAGAAAAACAGACACATAGACCAATGGAGAAGAATAGAGACCCCAGAAATAATGCCACAAACCTACAACCATCTGATCTTTGATGACATCAATGAAAACAAGCAATGGGGCAAAGACTTGCTACTCAATAAATGGTGCTGTGATAACAGGCTAGCCATATACAGAGGATTAAAATTGGACCCCTTCCTCACACCATATATACAAAAGTAAACACAAGATGAATTAAAGACTTAAATGTAATACCTAAAACTATAAAAACTCTGGAAGATAACCTAGGAAATACCATTCTGGACATAGGACCTGACGAATACTTCATGATGAAGGTGCCACAGGCAATTGCTACAAAAACAAAAATTGACAAACAGGACCTAATTAAACTAAAAGCTTCTGCACAACAAAATTAACTGCCAGAGTAAATAGACAACCTACAGAATAGGAAAAAATTTTGCAAACTATGCATCCATCAAAGGTCTAATAGCCAGAATCTATAAGGAACTTAATTTAACAAGCACAAAACAACTTCATTAAAAAATGGGCAAAGAACAGGAATGCTTTTCAGAAGATTTACATGCAGCCAACAAAGATATAAAAAGATGCTGAACATCACTGATCACTAGGGAAATGCAAAGCAAACCCAATATTAGATAGCATCTCACACTACTCAGAATGATTATTACTAAAAAGTCAAAAAATAACAGATGCTGGCAAAGTTGGTGAGAAAAAGAAATGCTTATACACTGCTGGTGGGAATGTAAATTAGTTCATCCATTGGGGAAAGCAGTTTGGTGATTTCTCAAAGAATTCAAAACAGAATTACCATTTAACCCAGCAATGCCATCATTGTGTATATACCCAAAGGAATATAAATTATTCTACCATAAAGATACCTGCTCGCATATGTTTATTGCAGCACTGTTCACAATAAGCAAGACATGGAATCAACCTAAATGCTCATCAATGGTAGACTGGATTTTTAAAAATTGGTACATATACACCATGGAATACCATGCAGTCATAAAAATGTGATTATTTCCTTTGCAGCAATATGGATGTAGCTGGAGGCCATTATCCCAAATGAACTATCACAGGAACAGAAAGCCAAATACTGCACGTTCTCACTTATAAGTGGGAACTAAACATTGAGTACGTACAGACACAAAAAATGAAGCAGACACCAAGGCCCACTTGAGGATGGAGGGTGGAAGGAGGGTGAGGACTGAAAAACTACCTGTCAGGTTCTATGCTTATTCCCTGGGCAATGGAATAAACTGTACACTAAACCCCTGTGACATGTAATTTACCTATATAAAAAACCTGCACATGTTCTCCTAAATCTAAAATAAAAAAATTTTAAAACAAGATACAAATGGCCAATAAACATATGAAAAAAACTCCACATCATCAATAATTAGAGAAATGCAAATTAAAACCACTATGAGATACCACCTTACTTTAGCCAGAATGGCCACTATAAAAAGTTGAAAAACAATAAATGTTGACATAGATGTGGTGCAAAGGGAATAATTATACACTGCTGGTGGGAATGTAAATTAGTATAACCTCTATGGAAAACAGTATGTAGATTTCTCAAAGAACTAAAAGTAGATCTACCATTTGATCCAGAAATCCCACTATTGACTATCCACCCAAAAGAAAAGAAATTACTATATCAAAAAAGACACCTGCACATGTATGTTTATCACAGCACGATTTACAATTGCAAAGACATGGCACTAACTTAAGTACCCACCAACTGATGAGTAGATAAAGAAAATATGGTATATATACACCCTGGAATACCACTCAGCCATAAAAAAGAATGAAATGATGTGTTTTGCAGTAACTTGAATGAAACTGGAGGCTATCATTCTAAGTGAAGTAACTCAGGAATGGAAATTCAAATACCATATGTTCTTACTTATAAATGGGAACTAAGATACGGGTTCACAAAGGCATACAGAGGGGTATGATGGGCATTGGAAACTCAGGAGGGGGTAGGGTGGGGAAGTGAGGGAGAAAGCACTACCTATTTGGTACAATGTAAATTAATCAAATGACAGGTGCACTAATACTTCAGACTTTAACACTATACAATTCATAAATGCAACCAAAACCACTTGTACCCCTAAAGCTATTGAATTTTTAAAAATTCTAGGTAATTTAATGTCCTATGTGCATAATTTATTCAATAACTTAGCAGTTCCTTGGTCTCTTAAAGTTCAGTGAGATTCTCCACATTCTGGTTAAGTCATCCCGTAAGAAGGCCTCAAAACCTGAACACTGAGTGCAGGGATAGTTAATCTGTAGAAGATGATCTCTAAAATTATCATTAAAGGAAAAGTAGCCAAGGCCTCACCTAGCAGGTACTGGGAAAGGTGGGATGAGATGAGAGATGACAGTAAGTGAGGAAGAGGGAATTCTACTCAATGCAGACATCATGAATAATGGGAAGGAGATGAAAAAGAGATTGGTAATGGATTAACCATAAGATGTTTGGGGAGGCTGGGAGTGATAAGAGATGAAGATCAAAGGAGACAGAGTAGGGATCTGATCACATGTCATGCTAAGGAAATTTGATCTTATTTATGGACCACAAAGAGCTATTGAAAGGTGTTAAACAGAAAAAAAACTGCTTCTACGCTCAGAAGCCATTTCTGGCATCAAATGTATGGGATTTCCATGCCAAACAATTCTTCA
This sequence comes from Homo sapiens, assembly GCF_000001405.40. Lineage (NCBI taxonomy): Eukaryota > Metazoa > Chordata > Mammalia > Primates > Hominidae > Homo > Homo sapiens. The sequence continues at coordinate 104,200,239 of NC_000006.12, forward strand.
ATTCTCAGAGGAAACCAACTGGTTGTCCTCTAATTAATTAAATTCTGAAACTAACTACCAGGAATTATCACAGACCTCACAGGCTAAGGGCTCAATCCTACAAAACTGCTGCCCACTTCCATTGCAAGTAGCGAGTTCCTAGGTGATATGGTTTAGCTCTGTGTCCCCACCCAAATCTCATCTTGAATTGTCCTCCCATAATTCCCACGTGTTGTGGGAGGGACCCAGTGGGAGATAATTGAATCATGGGGGGGCAGTTTCTTCCATACTGTTCTCATGGTAGTGTATAAGTCTCACAAGATCTGATGGTTTAATAAGCAGAAACCCATTTCACTTGATTCTCATTCTCTCTCTTCCCTGCTGAGATGTAAGATGTGCCTTTTGCCTTCTTCCATGATTGTGAGGCCTCCCCAGCCAAGTGGAACTGTGAGTTCAATTAAACGTTTTTCTTTTGTAAATTACCAAGTCTTGGGTATGCCTTTATCAGCAGTGTGAAAATGAACTAATACAGCAAATTTGTACCAGTAGAGTGGTGCGCTGCTGAGAAGATACCCCAAAATGTGGAAGCAAATTTGGAACAGGCTAACAGGCAGAGGATGGAACAGTTTGGAGGGCTCAGAAGAAGACAGGAAAATGTGGTAAAGTTTGAAACTTCCTAGAGACTTGTTGAATGCTTTTGCTCAAAATGGTGATAGTGATATGAACAATAAAGTCCAGGCTGAGGTGGTCTCAAATGGAAATGAGGAACTTGTTGGGAACTGGAGCAAAGGTAATGTTATGTTTTAGCAAAGAGAACTGGCAGCATTTTGCTCCTGCCCTAGAGATTTGTGGAATTTTGAACTTGAGAGTGATGATTTAGTGTATCTAGCAGAAGAAATTTCTAAGCAACAACGCATTCAAGATGTAACTTGGGTGCTGTTAAAGGCATTCAGTTTTATAAGGGAAGCAGAGCATAAAAGTTCAGAAAATAGGCAGCCTGACAATGTGATAGAAAAAAAAAATCCCATTTTCTGAGAAGAAATTCAAGCTGGCCACAGAAATTTGCATAAGTAATGAGAAGCCCAATGTTAATCCCCAAGACCATGGGAAAATGTCTCCAGGGCATGTCAGAGGTCTTCACAGCAGCCCCTCCCATCATAGGCCTGGAGGCCTAGGAGGAAAAAGTGGATTTGTGGGCTGGGCCCAGGGTCTGAGTGCTGTGTGCAGCCAAGGGACTTGGTGCCCTGTGTCCCAGTCACTCCAGCCATGGCTGAAAGGAGCCAACATAGAGGTCAGGCTATGGTTTCAGAGGGTGGAAGCCTCAAGCCTTGGCAGCCTTCATGTGGTATTGAGCCTGAGAGTACACAGACATCAAGAATTGGGGTTTGGGAACCTCTGCCTAGATTTCAGAATATGTATGGAAACGCCTGGCTGTCCAGGCAGAAGTTTGCAGCATGGAGAACCTCTACTATGGCATTGTGGAAGGGAAATGTGAGGTCTGAGCCCCCGCACAGAGTCTCTACTAGTGCACCACCTAGTGGAGCTGTGAGAAGAAGGCCACCATCCTCCAGACTCCAGAATGGTAGATTCACCAACAGCTTGCACTGTGAGCCTGGTAAAGCCCTAGACACTTAATGCCAGCTTGTGAAAGCAGCTGGGAGGGATGCTGTACCCTGCAAAGCCACAAGGGTGGAGCTGCTCAAGACCATGGGAACCCACCTCTTGCATCAGTGTGACCCAGATGCGAGACATGGTGTCAAAGGAGATCATTTTGGAGCTTTAAGATTTGACTGCCCTGCTAAATTCTGAACTTGCAGACGGCCAGTAGCTCCTTTGCTTTGGCCAATTTCTCCCTTTTAAAATGGCTGTATTACCCAATGCCTGTACCCCCACTGTATCTAGGAAGTAACTAAGTTGCTCTTGATTTTATAAGCTCATAGGTGGAAGGGACTTGTCTTGTTTCAGATAAGACTTTGGACTGTGGACTTTTGAGTTAATGCTGAAATGAGTTAAAACTTTGGGGGACTGTTGGGAAGCCATGATTGGTTTTGAGATGTGAGGACATGAGATTTGGCAGAGGCCAGGGGCAGAATAATATGCTTTGGCTCTGTGTCCCCACTCAAATCTCAAATTGTATTCCCATCATTCCCATGTATTGTGGGAAGGACCTGGTGGGAGATAATTGAATCATGGGAGTGGTTTCTCCCATACTGTTCTCAGGGTAGTGAATAAGTCTCACGAGATCTGATGGTTTGATAAGGGGAAACCTGTTTTACATGATTCTCATTCTCTCTCTTGCCCACTTTGATGTAAGTCATGCCTTTTGCCTTCCACCATGATTGTGAGGCCTCCCCAGCCATGGGGAACTGAGTCAAATTAAAACTCTTTCTTTTGTGAATTACCCAGTCCTGGCTATGTCTTTATTGCAGCATGAAAATGAATACACCAGGTTACCTACATTTTGTCTGACTTGGACAAAATTCAAAGCTTCCCACAAGCTTATTGAGCTCAGGCTCAATAATTTGTCATAAAGCCTCATGGAACTCAGGGAAACACTTTACTATTACCAGTTTATTATAAAGGATATTATAAAAATACAAATGAACAGCATTGAATCTATAAATTGCTTTGGGCAGTATAACCATTTTCACAATATTGATTGTTCCTGTCTATGAGAGTGGAATGTTTCTCCATCTGTTTGTGTCCTCTCTGATTTCCTTAACTAGCATTGACATTCTTCATAGAACTAGAAAAAACTATTTTAAAATCTATGTGGAACCAAAAAAGAGCGCATATGGCCAGGAACAATCCTAAGCAAAAAGAACAAAGCTGGAGGCTTCACACTACCCAACTACAAACTATACTACAAGGCTACAGTAACCAAAACAGCATAGTACTGGTACATGGTACTGGTACATGACACATAGACCAATGGAACAGAATAGAGAACTCAGAAATAAAACCACACGTCTACAACCATCTGATCTTTGACAAACCTGACAAAACAAACAATGGGGAAAGGTTTCCCTATTTAACAAATGGTGCTGGGAGAACTGGCTAATCGTATGCAGAAATTGAAACTGGACCCCTTCCTTACACCTTATACAAAATTAACTCAAGATTGATTACAGATTTAAATGTAAAACCCCAAACTATAAAAACCATAGAAGAAAATCTAGGCAACACCATTCAGGACATAGGCATGCGCAAAGACTTTATGTTGAAATTGCCAAAAGCAATTGCAACAAAAGCAAAAATTGACAAATGGGATCTAACTAAACTAAAGAGCTTCTGCACAGCAAAAGAAACTATCATCAGGGGGAACAGACAACCTACAGAATTGGAGAAAAATTTTACACTCTATTCACCTGAAAAGGGTCTAATATCCAGAATCTACAAGGAACTTAAGCAAATTTATGAGAATAAAACAACCCCATTAAAAAGTGGGCAAAGGATACGAACAGGCACTTCTCAAAAGAAGACATGCATGTCGCCAACCATATGAAGAAAAAGCTCAACGTCACTGAGAGAAATGCAAATCAAAACCACAATGAGACACCATCTCATGCCAGTCAGAATGGCAATTATTAAAATGGTAAGAAATAGATGCTGACAAGGTTGTAGAGAAATTGAAATGCTTTTATACTGTTGGTGGTAAGCTAAATTAGTTCAACCATTGTGGAAGATGGTGTGGTGATTCCTCAAAGATTTAGAACCAGAAATACCATTTGACCCAGCAATCTTATTACTGGGTATATACCCAAAGGAATCATTCTATTATAAAGATATATGCACACGTATGTTCATTGCAGTAGTATTCACAACAAAGACATGGAATCAACCCAAATGCCCATCAATGATAGACTGGATAAAGAAAATGTGGTGCATACACAACCATGTAATACTGTGCAGCCATAAAAAGGAATGAGATCATATGTCTTGCAAGGAACTGGATAAAGCTGGAAGCCATTATCCTCAGCAAACTAATGCAGGAACAGAAAACCAAACACCACATGTTCTTACTTATAAGTGGAAGCTAAACAGTGAGAACACATGGACACAGGGAGGGGAACACCACAAACTGGGGCCTGTTGGGGGAGGGCAGGAAGGGTGAGAACATCAGGAAAAATAGCTAATGCAAGCTGGACTTGGTACCTAGGTGATGGGTTGACAAGTGCAGCAAACCACCATGGCACACATTTACCTATGTAACAAACCTGTATATCCTGCACATGTACCCCAGAACATAAGAAACACAAATGAACAATCAGATGAAGAGGTACCTAGGGCGAGGTCTGAAAGAGTCTCTAGCACAGGAGCTTCTCTTCCCATGGAGTTGGAGTGCCTTCCCTGCAGAGAGATGCATTTGCTAACCCAGAAGCTCTCTGAATTTCATTGTTTAGGATTTTTTATGGAGGCTCTATGTCAGCATGATTGAATAAATCACTGGCCATTACTGACTGAACTCAAGCTCCAGCCCCTCCCTCCTTCCAAAAAGTCAGGGGATGAGGTGGAAAGTTCCAACCTTCTAAACACATGGTTGGCTCCTCTGGAAGCTTTCTAGGACACATCCCCCAGCCACACCCCAACCAAGAGTGATCACATTAGCATGAACTCAGGTATGACTGAAAGGGGCTTATGAAAAACAAATAATGCTCCTTTTACCCCTATAACTTAAGAAGATACAAGTGTTTCAGAAACTGTGTGGCAGGAGACCACATATGTTTTTCTTATTATGTCACAGGTGTTAAGCAGAAAAATTAAATGACCAGATATTCTGGGTGGCCATACACAATCTGAATGAGAATATTCACGTTTTTCATTGTGTCCTTTCTGATTTCCTTAACTAGCGTTGACATTAGTCTTGGAAAATGATGAGCCTTAATAGTTTTGAATATCTTCTTCTCCCTAGTCTCTTTCTTCTCTAGTTCTTAGGTTTCTAGTAGACATATTTCTGTGTCTTAATTTCTTTTTCATATTTTCCATCTCCATATTTCTGTGGCGAATTTTGAGTGATTTCCTCAAATATATCTTCAAATTTACTATTTTTTCTTTGACTATATCCAGTCTACCGTTTAACCTATCACTGAGTTTGGTATCACTGATTTTTCATTTCTAGAAATACTGTTTGGCTACTTTTACTTCTCCTTGTTTACTTTCATAAGCTTATTGTTATATGAACTCTATTATCTAATAACATAAACGTACTCATTGTGATTTCTCTGCATTAGTCAATTCCTAGGGTATAATTTTTTCCTCTTATTTCCTGATTCTTTTTCATGGTATTAAATTTTCTTATGTTCTAGGTGAGGCTTTTTGTCTCTGAGCCCCATTTTCAAAATAAAATATCTCTGTGTATGCCAAGCACAGACATGGTCCTGCCATAAGTAATTTAGACTTCAATATAGGGTGATATGTTTGTAACTTTCACTAGAGGTCTTTAGAGATGCCATTTTTATTTTATTATTTTATCTTTTTGTTTCTTAAGTATAAGGATTGTAAAAATTTAAGGCCCAAACCCACATAGTTTTGAGATTTAGAGGCTCCAATATATCACAACTGATGTCTTACAACTCATATTGGAAACAGATGGCCTACTTTAATGTGTTAACCTTAAGAGGGTGTGATGGTTTGAATGTATGTATTCCTCTAAAACTCTTATGCTGGAACTTAAACATCCAGGTGATGGTATTAAAAGGTGGGGCCTTTGAGAGGTCATTATATAATGAAGGCTACATCCTCATGAATAAGATTAATGCTATCAATAAAAGAGGCTTCAGAGAGCTGCCTGGCCCTTCTGTCTCTTCATCCATGTGAGAACACAGCATTCATCCCCTTTTGCCACTTCTGCCTTCCACTATGTGAAGACACACATTTGCCCCTTCTGCCCTGTGAGGATGCAGCATTAACACAACATCTCAGAAGCAGAGAATAGACCTCATCAGACACCAAATCAACTGGTGCATTGATTTTGGACTTTCTAGCCTCTATAATTTTAAGGAATAAACTTCTCTTCTTAAAATCACCTGGTCTCAGGTATTTTGTTATAGCAGCAGGAACAGGCAAAGATCAAGAGCCATACTTTTTTGGCTCCTAGGGGACTAGTGCTAGCAATGTTATCTCATTTGTCACCCCATTCTCCTATATCCTCCACTTTTCTACCAAAATTTTCATTTTTGCATCAGTGCAGTCCCCCAGTTAAAAAAAAAATCTGGGCTCATAGATAAGAAAGCTTAGGTTTAATGTGTCCATATATTTGTGTTATGTATCAAAAATGTGTGTGTGTGTGTGTGTGTATTTCTAACTGTAATTTTCCTTAAATATCATTATTCTGGCTGCTTTTTAAAAATTCCTCATTGAGGCCGGGCACAGGGGCTCACACCTGTAATCCCGGCACTTTGGGAGGCCGAGGCGGCTGGATCACGAGGTCAGGAGATCGAGACCATCCTGGCTAACACAGTGAAGCCCCACCTCTACTAAAAATACAAAAAATCAGCCAGGGATGGTGGCGGGCACCTGTAGTGCCAGCTACTCCGGAGGCTGAGGCAGGAGAATGGAGTGAGCCCGGGAGGTGGAGCTTGCAGTGAGCCGAGATTGTGCCACTGCACTCCAGCCTGGGCGACAGAGCAAGACTCTGTCTCAAAAAAAAAAAATTGCTCGTTGGGTTTAATTTTTCAAAATAACCATATAGCCCTAAAGTTTTCTACAAGATTCAATAAATATTTATTGCATCTTGAATATTTTGCCAAGAGATATAATTAAGGACAGTGATTATAATTTATATAATTTACATATGTTAATTTTAAAACTATTATATTAGAATATTTTTCAAAGTAGCCTGCCTCAAAGAAAAGAAAAATCTCATTCACTTAAGATTTCATCATGTTAAAATTTCAAAAGTGATCCTCATTGTGCTGTTTTGTCCAATTTCCTCATCAGGAAAACCCAGTCTGTTGCTTGAAGTTGGACTAATTTCCACCAGAGGTTTCATGAGAGTAATATTGACGGATTTCTCCTGATAAAGAGGCCTCACTAGAACTTAAGAATCCCTCAGCATAAATATTCTATGACCACTCTGCATATGCTAGGTACCATCTATCTCAAAAGATGTCTTTAGAAACCTAGAAATCAATCAAGAAAGAGCACAGAAGCCTTATAAGTATGTCTCTCCAGAGCCATTATAACAGATAGACTTAAAATATCCAAGGAAAACCATAGTTCAGAATCTCATTGAAATTTTATACAATAATATTTTTACCACCCAAAACTGTCCAATAAATCTTCCCCTAAAGCTTAGCTTGAATACTCATCTACCTGGGTATCACTAAAAATTTATTCCTGCTTCCTTCACATATTTTACACCTGGTCCATCTAATATCGTATATAAGAAGATTAAAGACATAATTTTTGAACAACCAATCACCATTATTTGCTATTAGGCAAATTTCTAACAACAGAAAAACACTTTTTTTATAGTGATCATAAATCTCTTAATAAGGATAAGCTTTTCTTTAACAGAATACAAACTAGTAAATATTGGGAAAATGATACAGTTAGAAAATCACTATCTTACAACAGTCAGTGAGAAAACTGAACCAGGCAAGTGTTGCATCATCAATGCATTATAAAACTATTAGGTAAATATATATATAGGATATTCACATGGTACAAAAGCATCATTCCACAGATAACTTGCTAATTACAAAGAAGAAAATCTACCCCCAAAGGAGTAATCTGGAGATCACTACCTTCACCAACTGGTTAATCATTGCATCACTAATAATTAGGGGGATCACATGATAGGTGTCTTCTGATGTAGTACAAAAGGAAAAACACAATTTTGTCTTTAGAGTATTCTCATTGAAAAGATTTAAACTGCATTGAATTAAGCCTTAGACTTAATTTTCAATATATAGAAAGTACAGAGAATAGAAGAACCCCATGAGGAAATAATACACAAATTCAGCAGGTGGAATTCCAATGCCACTGGGGGAATAAAAATTTAGATGACTGTTCTAGATTAAAAGAGACTAAGGCAGCATAACCAAATGCATATGTGAACTTCAATCAGAAACTTGACTAATTAGAGAAAGCAGCTAAAAAATATACATTGTAGATAATTAAGAAAATTGGAATATGGTCTAAGGACTAGATGATTTAGGAGATTTGCAATAATTTTGTGTGATAATGATATTGTAGTTACAAGGATAATATCATAAATAGAAAATGCATGCTAAAGTACTTAGGCATAAAGTATCATGATTTCTATAGTTTATTTACAAACAGCCCAGCCTCTTACCTCCAAAACAAGGTAGGCAAATAGAAAAGACAAACATAATAAAACATTAGTAATTATTGACTACAGATGGTGAAGACATGTGTTATTAAGTTGGTGCAAGTGTAATTGCCGTTTTTGCCATTAAATGGCAAAATTACTTTTGCACCAAACTAATATTATATTCATCAGGGTTGGATCAGAGCTATGGACCCACCATGTGTGATGTAGAATAAGGGATCCAGAGGTTCAAACTTTGCCCTTGTTGGACCTGAGGGAGCAGTTTATGTGCACTGCTGCTGCTGCTTCCTCTAGTATTAAGACTGAAGTTGTTATGCATCAGCCAGACTGGCAGTTGAGAAGAAAAGCTGGTTATGAACAAGAATAAGAGCAAACTGGAAGCTTTGAGGATGAACTAGTAGTCCATCTGTCTCTTAGCATCTTCAGGCTCATTACCATGGCTGACCTGCAGGAAACTTGCTGAATTCACCTCAGAGCTGTATACATACTCGCCCAGAGATGGAGAAGACAAAACAGGAAAGAAAGCCAGCAGGATGGGGGGAAGAGGCAGGTCCAGGAGCTGCCTTTCCCACAAAGCAAGCTTTCCAATTCAGTAACAACCTGTGCCTAGCATCTTGTGGAAACTTTAGTGCACAAAAATTAGAGTTTGCGCTTCATATCTGCTTTCCAAAAATCATGTACAAATGTCTTTTCTGGTCAGGAATAACCAGAAGTCATATAGAGACAGGGATTCTGAGAAGTTGGCACATTATAAGTCACCAAAATTTTTGTTCTGTAGCTATAAAAATTTTCAAAACAAAAATTGAAAAATCTCTTAATCTTTACCATGCAGTAGAAATCTTCTTCAGCTATTCTAATGTTTGCAACCTAAATATAAAAATTAGGCTTTTTCACATTTTTATCGTCATGGTATTGATAAATTGCAAAGGATAAGAAAAAAGTCATCTGACAACTGAAATTCCAATCTAATTATTTGAAGCTCTGGTTGCCTTTTTTCTACCATAAATAAAAGCTTAAATATAAACTTTCATAGAAATTAATTGAAATAAATTCAAGCCTACCTGCCAAAGCAAATAGTTCAACAAGAACCTTTCTTCTCCCTGATAATATAAGCTAGAAATTGTGTATAATGTATGTAGTTCTGTCATTTTTAGAAAGCAGGACTTAACATCACTTTTGCAGAATAGTGAGTTTGTCTAAACTTCTCCAAAGTTTAAGTGATCAGACCTAAATGATTTCATAAACTGAATTAAATGATTAAAGTCTCCAAATAAGTAATGAAAATAACACAGTTTTCTTGAAAATTAGAAAAATTGTGAGGAGTGCTCAATCTTAGGTCCATATTAGAATCCCTAGAGGAAGCCTGGGCCCTACCTCACATGATCACCTGAACCACAGCCTCAGGAAGGCTGAGTCCTTTCATCTGGCATGAGTTGCTAGGAAGTTCACTGGCTATTCTAATGTCCACAGAAGGAAGAACCCCTGGAAACCACAATAGGGAAGTGATTTGCTAACGCCCAAGAAGAAAAGTACTACAATTAGGAGTAATAACATGTGTAGTTGGATATCAAAGAAATTAATTCTAAATGGCTTAGCGAAGAATCTATGGAGGAGAGATAATTTAATTTGGACATTGAAAAACAGGTATAAATTTATCAGATGGATTATAAAAGAGACAAACTTTCCTGGAAATAAGAGCCTAAACAAAGGACTGCGGGTAAGAAAATGTAGGAGATTAGAGAAAAAGCAACGTATTAGGTTTCTCTAGAGAAACAGAATGAACAAGTTTTTTATAGATATATAGAAAGATATTTATTATGAGTGATTACTTCTCAAATTATGTAAGGCAATAAGTCTCAGCATCTGCTGTGTGCAAGCTGAAGAACCAAGAAAGCCAGTAATCTAGTTCCAGCCTAAGCCGAAAGGCCTGAGGACCATCAGAGCCAATGGTATATGTCTTAGTCCAAATCTGAAGGCTCAAGAAGCAGGATAAGTGATGTTCAAGGGCAAAAGAAGATGGATGTCCCAGCTCATGCAAAGAAAACAAATTTCTTCTTCCTCCACCGTTTTATTCAATTTGGGTCCTCAACAGTTTGGATGATGTCCACACATATTGGTGATGGCTATCTTCTTTCCCAAGTCTACTAACTCAGATGCTCATCTCTTCTGGAAACACCTTCACATACACATCCAGAAATGATTTGCCAGCTATCTGGTCATTCATTAACCCAATCAAGTTGACACATAATTAAGTCAAGGAATCCTATTTTCAGATGAATGAGGAACACGGCGAAATCATAAGGAACCTTGGAACATTCTATTTGGATAGACAGTTTATCTTTACCAGAAGGCAATATTTAAAGTCAAGAGGAGTATCTAAGATAAAAGCAGAAATTTACTAGAGAAGTAAGCAGAGCTTCTTCATTCTAAGGATAGGGTGAACAGGTTTCGTAAATGAGTTATGGGGTTGGGCACAGTGGCTCATGCCTGTAACCCCAGCGCTTTGAGAGGTAGAGGCAGCAGGAATGCTAGAGCCTAGGAGTTCAAGTTCAACCTGGGAAACATGGCAAGAGCCCATCTCTACAAAAAAAAATTTTTTTTTAAATAGCCAGGCATGGTGGCAGCTGCTTGTGGTCCCAGCTACTCTGGGGGTTGAGGCAGGAGGATCACTTGAGACGGGAAGGTCAGGATCACCTGAGACTGATAGGTTGAGACTGCAGAGAGCCATGTTCACAACACTGCACTCCAGCCTGGGTGAGTGTGCAAGTACTTGTCTCAAAAAGAAAATGAGTTATAAGTTATGTCTATATTCCCAAGGATAGACTGACACAGCTGGCCCATAGGCTGGTTGTCTTATTCATGAGAAGCCATACATGTATATCCCAGTGCCAGTAGACATAGTATTATTTTGTAGATGTTCCACCACATGAGAAAGGTTAAAAAGCACTGATTTGCCCTACACAGCCATCTTGCCTGATCTATAGGGTCAACTGCCTGCCCTTGAAATTCCTGTTCCCTATTAAGCCTAATATTTAAATAGAAAAATAAAAATAAAAATGCTAATAAAATATACAAAGAGAAAAATGTAGTAAAATAGAAAAGGAGATAAAAATGTACTTTAACAAAATAAACTGATTTTTTTATCATCTGTTTTTATTTTTCAAATAAGTAACACATGACAAAAAAAAAGGATAGAAAAGAATAAATGTTGAAGAGAACTTCTCCAATCAAATCTCCTGTTCTTTAATCACTCAATTACTTTTTCTGAAGAAACCACAGTCACTGATTTTTTTTTTTATTTTATTGTTCCCAAGATATGCTGTATATAAGCTGTGCAGAAAAGAGTTCACATGGCAGGCCTGAGACTACTATACTTAGAAAGACCAACTTGCAAGGTAGGTCATCAGCTAGGGTTTGAAAACTTGGATTTTAGGTATATTGCCACCATACCCTCACTAATAAGAGCAGCTTACTGTGCCTAGACTGTGCCAGCAATGTGATTTCTGCTGAATGGACTCCTTCTAGGAGTCTAGCATGACACATGCTAGACAGAGGGTGCCTAAGTTACAGCCGCCATAAAACCCCTGAGCACTGAGTCTCTAATGAGCTTCTCTAGTTTATAACTCTTCGTAAGTGTTATCACAATTTGAAGCTGGAAGAAGTAGTACATCTTGCATAATCCCAAAGAGACAAGACTCTGGAAGCCTGTGCCTGGTTTCCTCCATACCTTGTCCTATGTGCCTTTTCCTTTTCCTTAATTTGCTTTGTATCTTTTCTTGCAATCAATCATAGCCATGGATATGACCACATGCTGGGTCGCGTGAGTCTTTGTAGCAAATTACTGAAGTTAGAATGGCTGGTAGAACCCCCCAATACACAAGAATATGCGTGCCGTGTTTTTACACAATGGTAGCATACTCTATTTAATTTTCTGAATCTTAATTTTTTAGGTAGTATGTTTTGGACATTTTTCTTATTGGTACCTATAGGCCCACATCATCCATCTTAGCAGCTAAGTAGTATTTTATTATAATGAATATACCATAACTTATTCAGTTAGTCCTTTATTTATGGACATTGGGGTACATCCATTTCTTCACTATTACAAAAACTCTTCAGTGAGTATCTCTGTAAAGGGTTTACTTCTCCTTTGTGTGAGTAGGTCCATCTGTTTGGAAAACACACACTCACACACACACAGACACACACACACACACACACACAAAGAGTAGCATTACCAAGTCAAAGGTGATGTATTTTTTTTATTTTGATATCTATTGACAATTTTACCTCTACCATTTTACAAAAATGTCTGTTTCCTTTAGAAATTGCCAACAACATGGTTTACTAAAAAATATTGATCTTCGCTAATCTTAAAAGTGAAAAAATGATGTCGCAATTTCAAGAGACACTAATTAATGAGGCTGAGTATCTTTTTATACACAAAAGAAACATTTATGTATTTTTTTCTGTTAACTTTCTTATGTTTGGCTCATTTTTCTATCATACATTTTAAATTCTTCTCACTGATTCGGATGAGTTTTTTATACATTAAGAAACTTAGCACCTTTTATGTGATGTGAGTTGCAAATATTTTCCCCAGATGGTTGTTCACCCAGTGTCTTTGTTTATGGTAAATTTTAAAGCAGAAATATTTTATGGTTATGTAAATTTTTGTGGCTTGGATTTGTGTCAAAATAGGGGATTTCTTTAGGCAACAGTCCTTAAACAATATAAATAAAGCATTTATGTTCTAGACTTTCTGCCTGAAATATTAAAGTCTCAAAGCAAAAAAACACTGAAATGCACAAACATATATTTAATAGAGAAAAATAAAATATCTTAAATTCTGTTTCAAATACAGATGAATTGGCAGCTTTACCTCACATCTGTTTCATGCATTCCTGATCTACCATTAAGAACATTAAGATCCCAAATGACACTTTCTAAGGACACCATATTTCAATTGCTTTGGCACTAGTACAGAAATAAATCTTAATTTCAGTCTCTAGTTGACATTTCAGCTGGCTATTATAAATTACTTGAATTCTTTTACAAGTGAATTTGATTTAAAAGCCTCTTAAAAGAAGCTGATGGACAGGATATGACAGTGGCCAACTTCTAGATTCACTCTAAATTTTAGGCATGCATCTGAAATCTCTCAATATTCATTTGTTGTGCCTTACAGGAATTACATTTAAGGATAAGAAAACTAAGTGCATATGCCATCTATTTATGTAATATATAATTTGTCTTCAGAGATTCCAAGTTAAAACACAAAGAAAAAGTAACTTTGTTCTAATAAATTGACCATTCCCCTCTTCCTACTTACTTCCTACTTTCCTTTATTCTTCTACCTCTTTTTCCTCCTCCTCTCCTCACTCTTTTTCATCCTCCACCTATCCATTCATTCCTTCCTTGCTGGTATTTAGTCAGCCATAACTTAGATAAGAGATAACCCAAATACTGGGTTTATGTTGAGATCTGTGCTAAGTCATTTACATACATACCACGTGAAGTGTGTTGTATTTATAACCTCATTTTACCAACAAGAAAACCGATGCATGAAACTATTAATAACTTGATCAAAATCCCAAAAAAGGGAGGACTGAGATGAAATTCAGCTGTGTCTAACTCTGGCCTATATGCCTAAAACTACTGCTATGCTTCCTGGTGTATTCAAGTGTAATTGTCAAGCAATAGTTTACCTGTTTATTTGTTTTACTCAGGTATTTACATCTTGCTTCTTTCCTCATTACATACAAGCAGAAACAAAACAAATTCATAAAAATCCAAAGGGGGACATTATCAATATTACTCACAAATACTATGCCTCATGGGAAATGAACCCCCAATTTATTCTGCGTTCCTCACATAACAGTCACAAGTTTGTGAAATAATTTGGTCATAGTCAAATAATTTCCTATCTCCTTTACCATTAAAATATAATCTCCTGTCTAGCATAGACAGGATCAGGTCCTCATTAGAGGCATCGTAAAGTTGGGCTAGCTGGCACAAATTCCCAAGTGTGAGCACTCCTGCTTATAACACCAGCCTGACTATTTTAAAATGTTTTCTCACTCTCCTGTGTAGCTTTTTATTTTCCCTTCTTCACTTAGCAAAAACCCATCTTCCTGATCCTAACTTTTCTTCCCTCTAACCCTTATTATAAATTGCTTTTCCTTGGTCTCTAACCTTGATAAATTAACTAATGCACTGGCTTTGACTAATGGGTTTCACAACAGCCCTTCTCCACTTTCCTAACTTTACTTTGTCTAACTTTTTTGGTGAAAATTTCTAACTATATTTAATTTTTTTAACCTAATAAAGTGTGAATCCTAGGTTCCTAAGGAAAGGGTGTTAAGTAGTTCCCCTTATACCCAGGGCTTATAGAGGAAAGAAAATAACTTATGTTGATTCCTATCACATGCTAGGCATTTTATATACATTATTGCAAATCCCATTAAGATAAAGACCTAAAACTGAAACTACGACACTTTAAGTAGTATATCCATTGCTACACAGCTAAAATGTAGCTGAGCTAGGATTTGAAACTAGATAATGCTCGAAGTCCTTTTTTTAGCTCTGCTCCCCAGGCACATTGCTGCTTTTGTGGAATTCCAAGTACTGAAATCTTGTTTGACTCAGAACTGTGAGCCGTTTGGTCATTTGTTTGTATTAATTCTTATATTCTAAAAAGATTTAAATACTTCATGTTTTCCTCCTTTTTTTTTCTTTTTTAATCTCTGAACATAGTAGATATTAGGCAATTTGATAAACATGTTGAACATTGTCTTTCTGATTTATACAGGGCTTTCTTACGTCTCAGACTAGTGTCTCAGACTATATTATTGTAGGAAGTTTTTTGGCTCATCATGTTTGTAAAATGTATATAGACATATTAGAATCTCCATTACATCTTTATTTCTCTTAAGTATAAGCATGTACAATACATTTGTTCAAGAGTCACATTAAGAGTTATCAAGAAGTATCTCATTCATTATTTCTAGCTTGGCAGTGTTATAATCTAAGACTTTACATTTTATAATTTACCCACATAGTTTTTTTATCAAACAAGAAGTAATGCTGGAATTCCATATAAAGAGGAATTCTTGAATTTAAAGCTCCACCAATAAAAAGATGATAATTGAAATTTGTGATTGCAATTATCCTAACACCATTTATTCTAAAAACAAATGTATATTTAATAAAATTTTTAAAATTGATCATATTAGAAGTTTGTTGTTCTTAAAATTAAAAATTCTTAATATGCAGATAAAATGATTCATGATCGACCCCAAAATTTCAAAAGGTTATCATATAAATTCTGGTTAATAAAATTAATATGCTTAGTGCTAATAACCACACCATCTAATACAATTAAAATTGGCCTTCAGAAATCATTATGATTACTGATTCAACATGAAAAGAAATTTATTTTTTTTAGAAGTTGCTGCCAACCTCCTCCATAATATTTGGCAAGTGTTTAAGTCATTACAGTAACCTCTACCATGAACAACACAATTTTCATTCAAATGAATGCAGCCTTCGTTGTTTTCTCTCTTTAACTCAAATTACTATCTTTTTATATCAGTATGTATTTTGGGCTTGGTCTTTTCCTCTAATAGCCGCAGCAATGCAAAACAACAACAGAATCTTCAAACAAGTACCCTAAAGTGCCCTAAATTCATCTTCATACATTTCATTATTTTTATTTTGACTGACTTATCTATAAAATGAATCCTTGGCTTATGTGATTTCCAAAATCCTTTTTTTTTTCCCACCTTTTTTGAAATGGAGTTTCGTTCTTGTCACCCAGGTTGGAGTGCACTGCCGCGATCTTGGATCACTGCAACCTCCACCACCTGAGGTCAAGCAATTCTCCTGCCTCAGCCTCTGGAGTAGCTGGGATTACAGGTGCCCACCACCACACTTGGCTAATTTTTGAATTTTTAGTAGAGACGGGATTTCACCATGTTGGCCAGGCTGGTCTCAAGCTCCTGACCTCAGGTGATCCACCCACCTCGGCCTCCCAAAGTGCTGGGATTACAGTTGAAAGCCACAGCACCCAGTCCAAAATCCTTCTAACTTGAACATTCCCTGTGCCTCAAATTGATGAGAAACTGCATACTGCCCAAGCATAGAAAACAATTTTCAAACTTAAATGCATATTCCAAGACTTTAAGCCTAACAGTTATTGCCGTAAAAACTTTGCCCAGGATTTTACATCTTACTACTTGAGTAAGGGCACTTAAATTCCAAAATTTAACATTACTGGGCAAATGCCTCTCTTATACGTATATAATTATGTACAGAAAGGTAGGGTATAAATGTTGCGCTATAGTCCCACCAAGAGTTAACATTTAAGAAAACTTAAAAGCAGTTGAAGTTTGCCTTATACCCATCACGCATCTGCCTTTCAATCTTTCTTGACAGCTACTTTTCCTTCCTCTTACCTCAAATCTTACACTGAAGTAATATGTCATTTATCGCAAGAAAAAATTCCTATGGGTGTTTCACTAGAATTTCAGTCAGCGTTTACAGCTCACTCCTTTTGTTTACTACATTCTTTAATGTATTCCTTGGCAGATGGTAAAAACAAAGTAATTAAGGAATACAGCTTTATTACTGATTATGGATTTGATATTTATGACCAGAAGGTAATTTATAATCTTTGATTCTAAATGACATTATCCAAAGCAAATGTTTTATTTACACATTTATTTACACATTCAAAGGCATAGTAACAAGATACGAAGGCGCACTGAATGAAAAATATAGACTTGTAAAATGTTGACATTTGTCCCTAATTTTTCATATTTCTAAGTTCTTAGTTAAAAAGTTTAAAGCCGTGAGACTTTTCAAAATCTCTTTGTTTCAAGAGGCTTTCGAGGCAATTGAAAGAGAAGGAAAAGATGGTGAATAATGGAGCTGCTACATGACAAGACAGTAGGAGAAAAATACTCAGAAAAAAATTAAAAAGTAAATACAAAATTTGGCTGGAAAAGCCCCCATGAGATCCAGAGGTTTTTTGTTTTTGTTTTTGTTTTTTTTTTTAAAGAGGATCAGGAAAACAAATTTTACCTATATGAATTTTTACAATTTCAGATTTTATTTTAGATTCAGAGGGTACATGTGCAGGTATGTCACATAGATATATTGCATGATGCTGAGGTTTGGGGTATGAATGATCCCATCACCCAGGTAGTGAGCATAGTATCCAATATGTAGTTTTGCAGCCCTTGCTCCACTCCCTCTCTCCTCCCTCTAATAGTCCCCAAGGTCTGTTGTTCCCATCTTTATGTCCACAAGAAGTCAATGCTTAGCTCCTACTTATAAGTGAGGACATGCAATATTCAGTTTTCTGTTCCTGCATTTATTTGCTTAGGATAATGGCCTCCAGTTGCATCCATGTCTCTGTGAAAGACATAATTTCATTCTTTTTAATGGCTGTATCATATTCCATGGTGTATATGTTCCACATTTTTTTTCCAGTTCACCAGTGATGGTCACCTAGTTTGATTTCATGACTTTGCTATTGTGATACTGCTCCAACAAACATAGAACACACATGTCTTTCTTCTAGGACAATTTATTTTCCTTTGGGTATATACCCAGTAATGGGATTGCTTGGTCGGATGGTAATTCTGTTTTTAGTTCTTTGAGAAATCTCCAAACTGCTTTTCACAGTGGCTGAAATAATTTATATTCCCACCAACAGTATATAAATGTTCCCTTTTCTCTGCAGCCTTGCCAGCATCTGTTATTTTTTGACATTTTAATAACAGTCATTCTGACTGGTATGAGATGTTATCTTGTTGTGGTTTTGATTTGCATTTCTCTGACGATTAGTGATGTGGA
The DNA here is from genome assembly GCF_000001405.40 of Homo sapiens. Taxonomy (NCBI): domain Eukaryota; kingdom Metazoa; phylum Chordata; class Mammalia; order Primates; family Hominidae; genus Homo; species Homo sapiens. The sequence goes on from NC_000006.12 coordinate 104,218,375, forward strand.
GCATTTTTTCATGTTTCTTGGCTGCCTTTATGTCTTCTTTTGAGAACAGTCCATTCATGTGCTTTGCTCATATTTTAATGGCGTTGTTTTCTGTTTGTTGAATTGTGTAAGTTCCTTATGGATTCTAAATGTTAGACCTTTGTCTGATGCATAGTTTGCAAATATTTTCTCCCATTCTGTAGGTTGCCTGTTTACTCTGATAGTTTCTTTTCTGTAAAGAAGGTCATAAGAACTAGCCAAACTAAACTCCACACAGTGAAGGTATGGCTGGCTTTGTTTATAAGGAAGGCTACAGGTAGGTTATAATAAGGTAAATCCATAATATTAACATGGTTATTGGGAAATTTCCAGTAAAAGTTTATAACAGTCATATCAAAATTGAAAGAAACAGTTAGTGGAGTCTTATAATACTTGGGTGCAAGTCTGTTTCTTCCAATGGGTCATGTTATCATAAAAAATGTTTTTATGAAGACAAGAATGCCATTCAGAGGCTCCCAATGATAACAATGAGAAGAACTGGGGAACTGAAGCTGCTAGAAGGAATAGTGAATTCATTTCTCACTTCAGGGCATGTACTACTAAACGGAATGGCAGACAGAATCACCCATCTTCTTATTTTCTTTTCCTTAGGGGATTTTATTTTCCTTTTTAAAAAAATTCATTGCTTTGTTGCTTGTTTTCCCCAAATGCTTACATATGAATTTTTGTCAGTATAATACAAAATAATGAGTTCACTCTATGATGGTTGCTTATTGTCTTAGATGAATTAAATGACATTATGAAAAACAAAATAATATAAAGGATTGGAAACCATCATTCTCAGGAAACTATCACAAGGACAGAAAACCAAACACCACATGTTCTCACTCATAGGTGGGAACTGAACAATGAGATCACTTGGACACAGGGCAGGGAACATCACACACCGGGGCCTGTCAGGGGGTGGAGGGCTGAGGGAGGGATAGCATTAGGAGAAATACCTAATGTAAATGACAAGTTGATGGGTGCAGCAAACCAACATGGTGCATGTATACCTATGTACCAAACCTGCACGTTGTGCACATGTACCTTAGAACTTAAAGTATAATAATAATAAAAAGAAACTGAAAAATAATAACAAAAATTTAAAAATAGAAAGGATTTATGCAGGAAAATTCTTTTTTTCTGGATACTGTGTAGAAAAGAATAAGCTGAGGGTGAAGTAACCTTGAAAGGTATCATATCCTTTTTCCACTAAGGCAGATATTTATTTGTACAAGCATCACACAGCAAAAGTTAGAGGAGATCTAGGAGATGGGTTTCCATAGGCACTCAGACATGCTGATAGTCTACAACACCAAGATTTTCCTTCATAATGAAAAGAGATATCTTTTATTCCCTCTTAACTCTACTAGAGAAAAAGCATAGTTCAAACATGATGATAAATGGCAAGTGGTAATGGGTCTCAGAGTCAGAAAGACATTAGGGAATGTTTAAGTAGGTGACAAAGGGAGAGTACCTGCTCCATCCAAAGAGGGAAGCTCCTACCAAGCAGTAGCAGACAGTTGTGCAAAAAAAGCTGGAAATCCAGGCTTTTGTGAAATCTCTAAATTTCTAAATATTGGCAGTCAACTTGTGATGACCAACATTGTTCTAGCCAAATAACACACATTTTCAGGCTAAAGACTACCTAAATTCATGGAATAGGTACAAGGTTGTGAGGCTGTTTCCAGCAAAACAATTGCAGAGGAATCTCTAACCCTGAATGAAGCTACTTCTGATCCAAGGTGTACTTCCCTGAAAAAAGCACTATCAGAGACAGGGTCTCCCTAGAAAAGACAATGCCTGTAATCCCTGGCATACTGACCTATCTTCATACAATCTGAACACTCTCCCTTATTCATACCAAATATATTATGTGACTGTTACATATCAGACAATAGCATCTTCCATGTCCCTCAGATTTGTCTTACTAATATGTATCCCAGGGCAAGAGAACAAGAGAATGAGGAAAAACTAGGTTAGATGGTCATGATATACAAAGAGAAGCACCTTAATACTTGCCTGGAAGGGAGACTGTTAATGATGACATGAACTAAGCACAAAGAATTTAAGAGAGCTCAGTTCTTAAAAACAAGATAATATTTCTAAAAGAAAATTAGAATTGTTATTAGACAAACCATGCAAAAAGCCATCTTCAGTTGTAGCTAATTTCAAGTAGATTATAAATTTCGGATTTATGTACTTGCCCTATGTTTCTTATTTTTATTCTAATACTTAGGTATTGTGCTAAGTTGTTGAATTGATTGTCATTGAAAGGGTAGATATAAAAAATGATTTTCTCTATCACAATGTAAAATTTTCTATATGAGAACACAAATCCCATGGAAATTGAGGCATTTAAGAAATAAAATTAAAGAAAAAGAAATATATAAATGTAAAATAACAGCAAGAAAATATAATTATTTTGTCATATTCTAGGTTATATTTCTAACGAAAGCTGCCTTAAGTCCACAATTAGTTTAAAATCAGAGAACAACCAACCCAACTTTGTATCACAAAAGTGGAGAAGAGACAGACATGGGTACCACCTAACAGTCTTTTAAAAGCCTAAAGACAGGAACATTCTACCACTTAATATGGAAGTTTATCAGTTTTAATTGTTCCAAGAGCAGCAAATCTGAGACATTTAAAGAGATAAAGATGAAGATTATGGATACAGTATAGGTCCAGAAATATAGACTATGGCATTTCCCACTTAGGCTTATAATGTTAGTCTCAAAGTCTTTATTGAATGTATTTAAATAAAACTTACCCATTTAAAATACATAATTTGAGAAGCTTTGGTAATTATAGTCATGTAACCACTATTACAATTGAAATATACTACAGTTTCAGGATTTTAAAAGGTTCCCTCACTTCTCATTTTGCACTTAATACCCTCTTTTGACTCCCAGCCATTGGCAACCTCTGATCTGCTCTTTGCCACTCTAGTTTTACCCGTTCTAGATTTTAGATGTATGGAATAATACAGAATAATCTTTTGTGTTTATTTACGTGGCACAATAACTTATCTATTTTTATATCTATTAATATGTTGCTCCTTTTCAATTGCTGAGCATTATTATTTCATTGTATGAATATATCACAATTTATCCATTTACTGTTTGATAGTCATTGGCTTACTTCCAAGTTTTTTGGGTATTGTGAATAATATTGTTATAAACATTCACATACAAGTCTTTATGTAGCATGTGTTTTCATTTATGTTTCATAAATACCTAGGAATGAGACTGCTGGGTCATAAGGTAAATATATTTTTAAGTTGATAAGAAATTGCCATATAGTTTTCCAAAGCAGTGATATCGTTTTCTATTCCCACCAGCAGTGGATAAGAATTCCAACTGTTCCACATCCTTGCCAACACTTAATGATCTCAGTCTTTTTTAACTTATCCATTCTAATTGGTGAGAGGTGATTGTCTTTTAGTAGCATTAATTTGCATTTGTTTGATGATTAGAGTTAGTGAATATCATTTCATGTGTTTTATTGGTCATTCATACATTTTTCTTTGAAAAGAATCTGTTTAAATCTTTTTGCCAATTTTATTGGATTGTTTCTTTTATTATTCAGTTGTAATGTTCTATAAATATGTGTACGACACATAGCATTTTCCTCTTGTTTCTTTGTCTCATCTGTTTTTGCCCCACAGTCCCTACTTTTTCTAACTTTTTTTGGCCAAACATTTTATTCCTTCTCCTGGGGTGTGTGTGTGTGTGTGTCATTACCTCTTTATATTAACTTTTAGTGACTTCTTAGGATTAAGATTTTTAAATTTTAAAATGTCTACTTATTTAGTAGGATGCTATTTTATTTAAAATGCATATATATACACATATATACATATATATTAATATAAACACATTAACAATGCACAAAGTGTAAATATGCATATAATCCATATTTATAAAAATTAAAATTTTTAGAGAAAAATTTAAAAGAAAATGTATAGTGTTTCATTTTAACAGATACATTTACAATTTCTATGTCTTTCTCTTTCTCTCTAAAATCCAAGTGTCTATCTAGTGTCATTTCACTCAAACCAAAGTACTTCCTTTAACAATTATTGTAGTACAGTCTGCTGACCACAAATTCTCTCAATACATGTTGATCTGATAATGGCTTATGTTATCATTTTTGAAGGATCTTTTTTTCTGGATATAGATATATGAATTAGCAGATGTGTCTTTGTCTTTTTTAAATTCTTTCAGTATTTAGGAGATGTCATTCCATTATCTTCTTGGCCTCCATTATTTCTGATGAGAGGTCAACCATCATGCATAAGGAAGGGGTCCAGCATAAAATATGTTATTTTTCATTTTGCTTTCAAAATTTTTCCACTTATTTTTGGTTTCCAACAGTTTGAACATGAGCTTTCTAAGTGTCATTTTCTTTCTGTCATCCTACTTCGGTGTTACAGAGCTTCTATGTCTATAAGATAATGTGTTTTTTAAAATCAACTTTAGGGATTTGTTTGGTCATTAGTACTTCAGATTTTATTTCTGCTCAATTCTCTTTCCTCTTTCCTTTGAGGACACCAATTAAATATATCTTAGAACACTCAATACTGCCTCACAGTTATATGAAGTTCTTTTTAAAAAAATTTATTTCTCTTTTTCACAATATGTAATTTATATTGATTTGTCTTCAAGTCCAGTGACTCCTGTTCTGTCTCCAACATGCTGTTAGCCCCACTCAAGTGCATTTTCATTTTATTACCCAACAGGAAGTCACTGCTTTAACTACTCTTCAACATCCCACAAGTGTATTTCTTTCATTTCCACACCCATTGTCTTCCTTTTCTGGAATAAAGTCTACAGTCCTTTATAGTAGTCATCAAAGCAAGTTAAATTCCCTCCAAAATAAAACTTGCTATGAATATTTTAGACCTTGCATATTACATACTACACTATTACATACTATTATGAATTTTCTTATATTTATAGCTGTCACATATGATCGTGTAGTTTGCACAGTATATAACCTACATGCTCATACACAGTGACATGTCTTACAATTACTTCATGTTTTTATCTTTGCTATCCAATGAGCCTCTAAGTTCCTAGGGGGATAATATTATATTAATTCTCCAGTGGTATTCAGTGAACACTAAACATATCACTATTACTGTTACTCCAACTTCTACTGATACTACATCGTCTACTGATTCTGCTATTAATTCCTACTTCTAGATATTTGCTACCATTTCAAATGCTTATTTGTTCCAGGCACAATGCCAAGTGTCTTATATGCATCGTTTGATTTAGTCCTCACAACAACCCTCATAACTCTTATCCTCATTTTCATGCTGCAGAAGGCTAGAAATAAAAAGACAAAGTTCTGGGTAACAGAGCTAGTAAGTAGCCAGGCAGCTTCTTACTAAATCCAGGTCCTGAGTTCTCAACCACTTTATAGGCCCTAACTATACAGATAGTCTGTGCATATTTTAACATATATGTATCTCCTCATACATATGAAAGAGTTGCAAATCAGCAGAGATTTCCCATACACTCTTCACCCAGCTTCCCCTAATGTCAACAGACTGCATAACAATTGCACAATTATAAAAACTAATAAATAAACATTATTACAATTCTATTAACTAAACCATAGATGTTATTTGAATTTCATCTGTTTTCCTATTGCACTTTTTCTGTTTCAGGATCTAGCCCAGTCCCTCATGTCTCATTTAGTTTTCTATCTCCTTAATGTCCTACAATCTGAGATACTGACTCCGTCTTCCTTCGTCCTTCATGATGCTGACACTTGGAGTAGCACTGGTCAGGTAGTTTCTACATTGTCCTTTGATTTGGGTTTATCTAATGTTTTTTTATGCTCAAGTTGAGTTTATACAACGTTGACAAGTGTAATAAAGAAGTGATATTGTGTTCTCCTCAGTGGATTATATCAACGGGTAGCTCATTCTTTTTAACAACTGCAAATGTTACATTACATGAAAGTCCACGGATGGGCACTGAAATTTGTCTTTTTTCTTTTTATAAATACTAAGAATGATGTGGCAATAAATACTGTCATAAATATACAGTGTCTCACATGCATGAGTATATCTGTAAGACAAATCCCTAAAAGTAGAATTTCTGGACCAGAGTAGAATTTCGGGGCCTACAGACAGCTCAGCTATTAACAAACTGGTCTTCATAAAGTTAGTACCAGTTTACAGTTTTTTCAGTAATTCTTTCTTTCCCTATTTTTGAATAATCCATCCCTTCCCCCTGACTTAATATGTGGCTATTATCTTACTTATAGTACAATAACTTGCACATACTTTATCTTCCTTAATATATTGTCAACCTATTGGAGACCAAATTTGTGTCTCTCAGTAATTCGAAAACAACATATTCCACATCAGAAGAGCTCAGTAAATATTCATTAAACGAATGAATAAACAAGGTCAGCACTAGACCTTCAATATCCTTTGCCCTAGGTACTAGATCACAGGTGAACTGCTGTTTCTAAATAAACAATGGTCAAAATATGCAATGAGAATTTGTGTCGAAAATGTAAAGAATTGCCTAGGTAACACTTAACCAGGCAGCCATCATTAAACAAATCATTAATATTATCAAATAACTGAGCATCAGGGTTTCTATGGGACTTAACACAACTTTTCCTATAGAGTTTATATATTTGAGCCTTGTTTTGGAGGGGAGGGAGAAGGTTAGGGAAGGTGGAACTGGTCCCAGCAGCTAAAAATACATTTTATATAGCTTTTCACTGTAATAAAGTGATATATGTAGAAATAAAATTTAATAAACCACAGCCAGGTTTCACACAGTAAAGAATAAAAGCATCCAGCTGGTGACACTTTTAAATAATATTTTTCTTACCAGTAGTTGAGGGGATTGTTCAAAGCAGGTAAGTTATTGTCTCTTAGAATTCTCTCTTGAGTTATCTGTCCTTAATGTGCATCATTTGGGAAGATTAAGATTTAATATTCAGAACTACCTGCTAAGGCAGAATTCTCATTAAACCCAACCTGTTCACTACAAAGCTACCACACTGCAAAGATTGCTTGAGAAGGCAGCAGTTTTCTCTCGGGTATGTTCTCAGCCTCACAGCAACTCTACAGTCCTTGAAGGATGATGAGCTGAGCTTTTTCCTTAGAGCACAGAGCAGAATTATTATGGATACCTAAGCCCTTTAAATACCTTAGAGGAGCAAGGCAGGAGGATCGCTTAAGGTCAGGAGTTCAAGACCAGCCTGGAAAACAAAGCAAGACCCTGTCTATGGGAAAAAAAATGAGCCAGTTATGATGGTATGCTCCTGTAGTCCCAGCTACTTGGGAGGCTGAGACAGGAGGAGGATCACTTGAGACCAGGAGCTTGAGGCTGCAGTGAGCCATGATCATGCCAGTACACTCCAACCTGACCAACACAGAGAGACTTTGTCTCTAAAAATAAAATAAATAAATAAATAAATAAATAAATATAAAAAACACACAGGAAAAAAATGAAAAGAAAAACAAAAGGAGGAGACTAGAGGAGGGGGATTAGGAGAAGCCTAATTAAAGATAATATAAAATTATAAAATTACACATCATTGTTTTCATTTCCCCCAAAAAAGCTCTTTTTGTTTAAGACTCATTCCAAAAGAAAGGACCTATAAATAGCTTGTCCAGGAATATCACCACAAAGAAGAAACATATCAATTATTATTATTATTATTATTATTATTATTATATTATTATTATTGTTTCCACGTAAGAATCTTGTCTTAGAAACTTCAAAATTATGACTGCAAATGTCTTCCAATGTCTTAAAAGCAATATTTTTAATTGTAATGTAGTTTTTGTTATTAATGCTACTGTTTTATTGTGGAAAATAAATTGTTAAACTAAAGTTCCCTAATCATCTTTAAAAAGAAAACAGAGAAGGGCTCTCAGCAGTAGTTTTGGCTTGATATTGAGCTTTTATCATATTTTCATCTATTTCCCAAAGGCTATAATTAAGTTCAATTATAATCTATTTTTGGAAGCCTGTCACTCTCATATTTTTAATCTCCTTTAAATCTGAGGTAGCCTGAGCAAAGAGTTAGACCAATTATTAAGTGATTGTGACTAATATTTAGGTTCCCTTGTGGTATTAAATACCAAGCTCTGAAAAAGAAAGTAGCCTCAGATATTTCATCTTGATAGTTCCAAATTTCTGGCATTATATAGTTACAACCACAGAAATGACCTTTCATAGTAAATCCAAACTTACCCTTTATTTTCCTCAAAGCAGTTTTGGCCTGAATAGTCCAGATAAAAGCTTCAACATTTTAACTTCATATTGCCTCTCCACACACTGACACTAATTTAGGAACTGTCTTCTCTATATTCCGTGCCTGAAATTCACTTCATTGATGGAAAGTTGCACATGAAAAACATTTCACTCCTGTCTAAACAAAATCATGAACTTGGAATAAACGAACAGTTTAGTCGTTTAGGTTTTAAATATTTGAAAGCTTATAACTACCTCTCAAAGCAGTAAAGCTATTTAAATCTCTAAATATAGTAATGAGTAATAAACACACACAGTTTGATACTTAATAACCCATATGTACTCTCATTTAAAGTGATTGCATCATAATGAGTTTTGCCTCATAGCAGGGGAAACTTGTCTAAATATATGTCATTGGTATTTCAGATTAAAGTTAGTTTTGCATGAGAATGCCATTGGAGACTGAAAACTATGGATACATTTTACCATGGAAAATATTATCATTATTAAATAATCTTCAATCAGTTTGAACTGTAGAGAGTAGGTCAAAAGGACGCACTACTTTTGCCTATTATTTGCCTGTTTGAAGGCTGCCTAGGCAATCTGCCCAGAGCCCTGCAGCCTAAGAGCCCAAGCTAATTTTGAAAAGCCTAACAAAGCTTTCAGACTCTCAATTCATGTGAGTACAGAAGAGTACAGGTTTTAGCAGACAATTCTGCTCTGATTTTGTACAATTTTACATACTCAGAAAAATAAGCTCTTTTACAGGCTAAGCTGTGTTCTTTTGGAGGGGAAAGTACGCATTTTTTCCAAAGTGTACCTAATAAACAGCTTCATGGGGAAAGAGGTCATCCCTTGACCACCAGTTAACAGATGAACTCTGAGGGTGAGAGTTTCAACCCTACCCACTTTGAAGGAAGCTCAGCTTTCCTTCTGCAAGGCATGTAAAAGGGAAGCCTCTGCTTAAAGCAGGTCAATGGCTTCTGCTTCCCCTTCCTGCCTCTCTTTAAGCCTCTCTGATACAGGCATATATGTCCCCGCCTGTGTGTGCTGGAGAATGACCTTCCCCACTTCACTCCCAGCAGAAAGGCACACGATGTTCTAGTGCTGCCTATGTAACAGTGAGTTTGATGTAATTGAATGGAAAAACTGAGCTATTTCAGCTAAGAAAGATACTTGATGATTTTACATATGAAGGATCAAGACCTCTCATGCTTCTTTTCACAGAGCAACCACTGTCAATTCAAGCTCTTCTGGAAAGTTCCTCTTCTTGACAAAAGGACCATTAGAGATTGTTACTGAGCATCCCTTTTGTGACAGACATTCTACAAACACCCATGGGGGATGAAAGGAGAGATAACACAGGGTCCTGGCTTTCAAGAAGATTATAACCTAAAAGACACATTTCCACAAATAGCTATAAGAAAATGGACACAAGAGAAAGTGAAACCTGCTTTTCACCAAAGTTGATGGAATATTTGAACTTCACCTAAGAGAGTCTTTCATCTTCTGGTCTTAAAATTCTCCAGTGGGAATATTAAAAATATGATTTTAAGTTAAAATGACAAAATAATATTCCAAATTAGCTACGCATACTTAGAACAGATTTGAGGCTGCATTCTATTTGTGTATGTCCTCTTTAGAGGACATTTTCATAAAAGGTTGTCATTGTTCTCCTCAATTCAGCTGGTTGTTACAGCACACTTTTTGTCACTGATTAACTGACACAGAACAGATGCTGTCCAGGCACTTGTCAGTGAATATAACACTGGCCCACTGCAGCAAAACCAACTAAAACTTGGTGGAGATAAATAAAAAGAATATCTTGGGGAATGTGCATTAAACTCATAACTCTAAGTAATAGGGCCCTCTCCCCTTCCATTCCTTATAGGAAATAGAGTTGAGCCATGGAAACCAAGACCAGAAATACAATTGATATGGTTTTGCTATGTTCCGACCCAAATCTCATCTTGAATTGTAGCTTCTGTAATTCCCATGTGTCATGGGAGGGAGCTGGTGGGAGGTAATTGAAACATGGGGTGGGTCTTTCCTGTGCTGTTCTCATGATAGTGAATAAGTCTCATGAGATCTGATGGTTTTATAAACGGGCATTCCCCTGCACAAGCTCTTTTGCCTGCTGCCATTTAAGATGTGCCTTTGCTTCTCCTTTGCCTTTTGCCATGATTGTGAGGCCTCCCCAGGCATGTGGAACTGAGAGTCCATTAAACCTCTTACTTTTATAAATTACCCAGTCTCAGGTATGCCTTTATTAGCAGCATGAGAACAGACTAATACAACAATCAGGCCTCATAAATGGGCTCAAATCTGTGGCTTATCTGTATTTTTCTCTGCATACCTGATTCATGGCTCCCTCTATCTGCAGACCAGCTTCTGCTACTTTGGTTCATAGGGGGGCTAAAGATGCATAGTCTTGACTATACATGACTTTCCTTTATAAGTTCAACCTCCAAAAAAGAGGTTATCACCTCTCTCTCTCTCGTTCTCAATTCCGTAATACCAGGGAAATGGACTATGACTGCTTAAGAGGTGGCTAATTTGTTTCTTGCTGAACTAATAAATTATGGGCAAGGAACAGGATCTAGAGTAAACACCAGCTTAGTTTACCTTGGATCAGATTCCCATCCCTGATCCAACAAAGAGGTCAGGACTATGCTTTGCAAAATTGCTTCTATGAGTTCGCTATTATGTGAATCATGGGAAAGGTAAAGCAACCAAAACATGTATGGGGGAGTGGGAATTAGGATGACAGAACATTCAAGTCCACAATAGATATTCAGGACATACATTTCTATAGAAACTCTAAACTATAGTGTTTAATTGGGTAAATGCCTGCCTACTTGCTAACATCAGCAGTGACCACCCTGAGCAACAAGTCATGGTTGATGCCAGGAAAATCTTTAAGAGAAGCACCCTCAAGATAGTCACTGTGAAGGTGTTGTTGAGGACCTTGTTCGCTATCTCAAGCAAACATACAAGTAACATATTCCTGGTATCTCAGTATTGGGAACAAATGTGTTTTTGTTTTATGAATCCTGGAGTATGTGCAAAAACTCATTGCTCTCTTCACATTTTTACTTGGAAATCCAGAAGTGCTGAGTGTATATTTATATGCATCTTTTGTATTTTCCTCACATTTTGATCCACCTCACTTGTTTATATATATTGTTGCCTATGATCCCTCACTTATTTTAAATATTCTTTTCTTGTGAATTTATGTACATTTTAAGCTATTTCTTCTATCTTATTTAATTAGGTATAGCCTGAAATTTTTGCAAGTTTAGAAAAACTTATTCAGGTTCATGTCTATATCTCAGATAAAACAATTTCTAAAGTGGCCAAGCCATATTATCTTATTAATATAAAAATGCAGGCTGGGTACAGTGGTTCACACCTGTAATCTCAATACTTTTGAAGGCTGAGGCAAGAGAATTACTTGAGTCCAGGGGTTTGAGACCAACCTGGGCAGCACAGTAAGACCGCATCTGTATAAAAATAAAAATAAAAAAAAGCTGGGTATGGTGGCATGTGTCTATATTCACAGCTACCTCAAAGGCTGAGGCAGAAGGATCACTTGAGTCTGGGAAGCCAAGGCTGCAGTGAGCTGTGACTGTGCCACTGCATTCCAACCTGGGTGACAGAGCAAGACCTTGCCTCAAAAATAATAATAATAAAATAATAAAATAAAATAATTGCAAAAATTTTCCCAGGGCTTGCTTAGCAAGTTTCAGGTTATTTTCTGGGTTTTCAGTCCTAATTAGAATTCCTTCTTTTTCTCTGTATTTTCTCATGCTCTGTATGAGCATGCTGTTGTAATTACTGCTTCCTGGTCCCATAAGGCTTCTTCAGGTTTCCTTCCAAAAGTAAATATTAAAAAAAATTCTCACACAGAACTTTCAAAACATACCCAAAAGATACAAAATGAAGAGTAATGCTGTATTTCAAGCAGCTTTCATGTGTCAAGAAAAGAATACCTGCTGGTGTCTTATTCCATAAGGAGCCAGGCAGATACGTGACCCTCCTCTGAAGCACGAACTCTATATAAACTCTCTCAGAATCTCTCTTACCCTACTAACCCCATACCAACTTATTTCTGAAACGCATGTCATTTAGGTTAATTTTATGTGTCAACTTGACTGGACCAGGGTATGACCAGATGTCTGGTTAAACATTATTTCTGAGTGTGTCTGTGAGGGTGTTTCTGGATGAAATCAGCATTTGAGTCAGTGGACTCAGTGAAGTAGACTGTCCTTTCCAGTGTGGTAGTGCATTGTCCAATTCAGTGAGAAGAGAACAAAAGGTGGAGGATTTTGGTCTTTTTTTTCCTTCTTGCCTGCCTTCTTGAGATGGGAAGTTAGTCTTCTCCTGCCCTTAGACTGGGGCTTATACCATAGACTCCCCTAATTCTCAGGCCTTTGGACTTAGACTGGAATTTCACCACTAACTGTCCTAGATCTCCAGCTTACAGATGACAGATTGTAGAACTCCTCAGCCCCCATAATCATATGAGCCATTCCTCATAATAAATCTATCTACCTACCTACCTGTCTTCCTACGTATCTCTTATTCATTCTGTTTCTCTGCAGAACCCTGACTAATACCCAGGTAAATTTTTAGCGTAGCCTCGGTAGCCAGATTAGAAAGTCCCCATCTGGAAGTGCTGCCTGTGATGGGAATCACTGCAGTTAACACGTGTCCCTTAGCTCTTGCAAGAGGTAGGCCTTCTGCCTTTGGCTCTGACAAGGTGCAGGAGGCCTACCCCTTTAGCATCTCTAATGGTGTCACAGTCTCACAGCTTGGCACTCTGGCTTGTTGTGGTTAAGTGCTGTTTTGCTAGAAAACATCTGAGCATAATACGACAAAATATTTGTTTTCTCCTCAACATCAGCACATGTTTGACCTGTTAGAATTTCTAAAATGCCAAAGTAGCAAGGTGCTACAAGTTAGAACTAACAGATATGCAGGTTCTCTTGGAACTCTGCTTTCAATTTTTCTCTTTTCAAAAATCTATTGATGCTTCAGATGTTAGCAGAGGAGTATCAGGAGCTATTGTTTACTGAAGGAAAGACGATTGACCTTTGACAGCAACTCATGGCTGGCATTTTGGATATTAGTCACCTATTTCTTTTCATTCTTTGTATAAACATATATTAAGCACCTGCCATGCAGTAAGCATTTGAGTAACAAAGGTTAACAAGACATACTTTCCATGTCCTTGAGCAATTTACAGCCTAGTGCAAGGGACAGAAATGTAGAGAATTCAGTTACATAACTTAATGCATAAGAAAAAACTGAAGCAATAAGAAAACACTCTTTAAGCATATTAGGAGGGCAAATCAAGTTGAGAAAACATTTTAAAGAGAAAGTGTCCTCTGAGATGACTTTTAAGATTAGAGGTTTATGAACCAAAGAAAGAGCTGGTGCCTAGGCATGACCTGTGACAGGCTCACAGCAGTCTTTCTCCATCTCATCACTATTGGCACCTGGGGCTGGATAACACTGTTTTGTGGGCTGTCTCGTGCATTGTAGGATGTTTAGCAGCACCTCTGGCCACTGCCCACTAGGTGCCAGTAATACATATACATACACAGACACAGACACACACACACACACACACACACACACACACACACACACAGAGTTATGACTATCAAAAATGTCTCCACATGTTTACTAAGTATCTCATGGGGTAGAAGGCAAAATGGCCCCTTGTTCAGGATTGAGAACAACTGTTCTATATGATGCTAATTAAAGTATCCAATATGGGCAGGGACTAGCTGACACCGAGTGAGGGGGAGATTGAAGCTAGACTGTGAAGGACCATATATACATGCTAAAGTTATACTGAATTATTTGGGATATTTTACAAGTAGTCCTAGATTTTTATTCATATTAATTTGCAATGTTTCTTCAAATAAACTCCCTCCTAATAAGGACATTTCAAGAAGTCTAACATCAAGCATATCGGATTTTAATCAATTTCCAAGTGTACCCTAGGAAAGGCTACTTCCAGCTTCTAGTATATGTCTGGCTGCACAATTATGTTGCCTCCAAAAAAAAAAAATAATAATAAAGAAAGAAAAAAACAGAAAGGCAAAAGAAAGCCCAAAATTAAGTTGGGCTCAGCAGGAACGGCACTTAATAACTATTTGTTGAATGAATGATTGAATGAATTAATGCACCAGCCAATTAATTAACTAAATGAAAAGGAGTGAAGGGGAAAATTCAGAAAAAGAAAGAGGTAGATAAGACAGAATAGTGGGGAGAAAAGAGGACATTTTCTATCAAAGTAATAATAAATTTTTTCATGTGTAACTAGAAAATTGCCTCTGAAGAGCACTAAGCAACAGCATCTTTGTTGGCAAAACAATATATTTTCCCAAGGGAACTGTTGAAGGAATTAATACTTGCTAGGATACAAAAGTTCTGATATATTGCTGAAAACTCAGTCTCACTAGATGTTCATTCCTTAAAAATGACTAACAAAATGGGAAAAAAAAAGAACACTAAATTTCAAACTGCTAGCCATGATTTTAAGGCAAAGGGTAAGACTTGTGCCTGAGTTGGAAAGACCAGATATTATATACTCAGTATCAAGCTATAGATTGTGTACTCTTGAATTTGGCCATCATTTAAGCCACAGCTTTGAGACTCAAACTGTGAAACAACTGTCTGGTAAGGATCAAAGGATAAAAAATATAGCACAAACAAGTTTCCTGCATTTTAAAGGCAGGATTGCCCTGCACAGCATCAGTACGCAAGGGGAAGGCACTGGAGCTGAGGAGACACAGCTCAAGAAAGACTTTCTTCTTGAAGGTTGGAAGAATTTTATGTTGAATGACTCTGCTCACCTCAGGAAAATTTGCAAAAGAAAAAGAGGACAACACAAAGAGACATCTATGGATACATTTGCTCAAAAAGTTATCTGGTGGCCTTAGGTACCCCAGGGTGTCTCCCCAAAAGAGGCCTTTTTATTATAAATCCTCTGACTCTAGTTAAAGTGGGCTCATACTTCACTGTCTCTAGGAGAAGTAAAGAAAGAAACATGAAGTTATGAACCATAATTTCATGCTAGTTTTGTCTAGTTACAGTGTTTCTTGGTGAAATCTCTTTTTATACATACTGAACTATTCTATTCTTATTTTATATAAGGATATAACATATTATAGTTGGTTAAATATTGTGTCCATGATCCTTAAATAATTTGTGAATTAAGTTCTTTGTCAGAAACATGACTACAAAGTTTTTTTAGTATTATTTTAGTGAATGTATCTTAAAATTGCATTCACTCTAACATAAACTACTTTAGCTAGAAACAAAATGTACAGCAATAGTGCAGCACTAAAGAAACTTTTACTTTGTATTATCAGGTTTAGAACAATAAATAAAGATCATATTTGTAGAGCCTCAGAAAAGCATGTGATCCATCTCTCCAGAGGTGATGTCTTGCTTTTCATCAGAGCCTTAGGCCCTTAGTAATTAAAGTTTGAAAGACTTTAAGATCCAATTTGTATAACAACACTAAGTTGAATGCAGGCTTCCGTCAAATAAATATTTTATATTTTTTATATTTTCAAAATAATTCCTTAACTATTATAGAAAATATGTCAATACAAAAAGGCATAAGGTGAAAAAAAATCACTCTAATTTCACCACTAATATTTTGACACAGAAAAAAGTCACCTCTGATCCCTCTACTAATATTTTAATGTAGTGTCTTTCAGTCTTGCTCTATTGCATTTTTTTGCTTTGCTTTGCTTTTAGTTTGATGTTATACAAAAATAATTTCCCCAAGTTTTTTGAAACTGTCCCACAAAGTCCTTGTTAATGGCTATAAAGTACTGCTTAAATGGTTGTACAGGATGAAAATAAATCAAATAGTAAAAAGTTTGCTAACTTGTTAAATTTTAATAGTAATAAAATATAGGCCAGACACGGTGGTTCACGCCTATAATCCCAGCACTTTGGGAGGCCAAGGCGGGCAGATCACGAGGTCAGGAGATTGAGACTATCCTGGCCAACATGGTGAAGCCCCGTCTCTACTAAAAATACAAAAATCAGCTGGGCGTGTTGGCATGCGCCTATAGTCCCAGCTACCTGGGAGGCTGAGGCAGAAGAATCGCTTGAACCTGGGACACAGAGGTTGCAGTGAGCCGAGATTGCGCCACTGCGCTCCAGCCTGGCAACAGAGCAAGACTCTGTCTCAAAAATAAATAAATAAATAAATAAATAAATAAATAAATAAAGCATTTATTAAAATCACTGACCTGGATCTAAAAGTACCAATATGAAAAATTCTGTAGGATTATTAATAAATGAATAAACAGTAGCATATGTAAGATGATCTCATTTATGATAAAAGAATATATTTATGTGTAACTACACCTGTCAGCATATGTAAATACACAAAGTAAGGCTACAACCCAAAATAGTATGAGTATTTATCTCATGAGTAGAAGCTTTTACAATGAAAATATATTAGCATATTTAATAGAGGATATTACATATTTTTCTAACTGAAAATAAAATACACATGGCAAAAACTTCAGACAACATAGAAAGTTATAAAAAAATAAAAATAACATTCTCACCACTCACAAAGAATCACTATTAATATTTTAACATGGACTTCCAAAGTATAAGCCTTTGCATACACATCGCATGTACGTTTCTTATAAGAATTGTATCTGCTTACAACCCTATAATTTATCAATTCTATGTTAGTGTATTTCCATTTGAATCTTTTCACAGGTAACCTATTTAGATTTTTCATCTTAATATACCAAGAATTTTACATATTTGCACAACCACTTTCTGCTATGAAAGTGACCTGTCTACCAGAATCTCTCTTAAAGGAGTCTACTAATACTTGCCCCACGTTAAGAAGTTTCATTTTTCCCTTTTTTCTCTGGGTTTCAGTTAAAGTTGATTTCATTTGTCTGTAAAATATGTTTAGTTCTCTTTCCTCTCCCTACACATGTATTCCAAACAACAGTGTTATTCATAGTGGCTTGAATAGATGTTAATTTCCAACATTTTTTATACATTAAGTTTTATTCAATTTGAGTTTCTTTTTCCAGTTACTATAATATCTAAATTATAGGACAACATTTTACTTTAGAACTTAATTTCATCTTAATTATGTGTAATTGGTAGTCTGGTAATACTATCTTATTCATGGTTAATATAAACATATAAAGAAAAATACAGTTTATCTGATTAAGCAATGAGAAATACAGATGAAAATTTAGAAGAATAAGGATAAATATGTCCATTACCATACATTCTGAGCTCTGCACATTTAAGCAGATACAACACTGATTAAAGTCCAGGGTGTTTTCTGACTCTCTACTACTCTATGATCAATATGCTTGTCTTTCAATGTTTTTAAAGAACACATCTTGGGATATGCTTGTCTAGTTATGTTAGAGATGGTCAGCACTTGATACCTTCATCTGTATGCAGGCATTAATGCTCCATTTATCAGAAATGACAGAAAATAAAGTTTGTCAACTAAATTCTTAAGCATGTTTCCGGATCACTGCTCTTAAGTCACTTAGGCACAAATATGTTTTTAAGGTTTTCTACAAATATTTAATTGAAAATTTTCCATTGAACACTATCATATATTGAAAAAAGGACTTGATCTCATTGGGAACAATTATTGAACTGTGGCAAAGTATAACACCTTCAGAAGTCCTCGAGGTATATATAGATATTTGCTGCTATACTGTATTAGCCCAAATTAATATGGTAATGTCTCTTATGTAAATTATGTATCATGAGTCTACATAGAAGAACTTGTCTGATTTTCCAAAATTTGTTGTGTCTAGTTCCTCTGTTGATATCTACTGCTTTTCCCTACCGACATTGTGTTTTGCTGATAAATCTATTTCCTTAGTTTATACAAAATAACTTGGGTCATGGCATGAAGGTATTCTAAAATACTTGAACTTAGTATTATACATTTGCTGCTCAGGTATTTATTTCATTTATCCCTTGGTTTATTCCATACTCTAAATTTTAATGTTACTGATGAAAAAAAGTAGGATTTTAAAGTATTTTTATTAAAAAATGTATATTACAAGATCTTCAGTATACACTATTATTAATCATTTTATAAAGGCATTGTGCAAGCAAATCTATGTTATAGACACAGTTATAAGGACTTTTACTGCACACTATGAATGAATGCAGGAAAGAAGGGGGAGAAGGGCTAGATCCCATGCTATTACCAACACAATTAACATATTCCAGCAAGTTTCCTCCTCTTCTCTCCACTGCATCAAACATTTTTTCTTTCTACTTGATCATTCCCTTGCACATACACTGTTATTTCTCCTATCTTAAAAATATTTCTCTTAACCCAACTACCACCAGTAGCACTCCCCCATTTCTTAGTCTCTCCATGGAGCAAAACACCTCAAAAATTGTCGGCACTCAATGTCTCCAGTTCCATTTGCTTCCTTTTTCCATGCTTCAACCTGGCTTTTGCCATCTACCTCTCCACTAAAACTGCTCTTTGTAAAGTTATTCAATGATCTCCATGTTGCTAACTCTAATAGTCAGTTCTCAGTTCTCATGTTATTCCACACAACAACAAATTTGATAAATGTGATCTCTTCCTTCTTTACACACTTTCTTAACTTGGGTTAAAAAACGTCTCCCACATTGATCCTCACCAGTTTCCTTCACTTGTTTTATTTCATCCCCACAAACCTCATAATTTTGGAATACTGCAGGACCTAGATTTTGATCTTTTCTTCTCATTTTATACTCACTCCATTAGAGAGGTCACTTACTCCCCTGGTCTTAAACACTATTTCTATGAGGATAACTCTCACCTTTGTATCTCTGGTCCAGACACTTCTCCATATTCCACTGTCATATATCCAGCTGTCTACTCAACATATCCTCTTAAAAGTCTAACTGACTTCTCAAACCAAATATATCCAAAACTGAATTTTTACATGTCTACCTATCACCTGCTTCCCCCCCCCACCATCCCTATCACAGTTTATGGCAATGCCAACCATTAAGATGCCCAGGCCAGAAGCCTTACAGTCATCTTCCCACAGCCCACAGCCAATCTGTCAGGAAAGTTGTTGTCTTTGGTGGTATTGTTGTATCTTGAAAATATAGCCAGAAAATAAGCAAGCAATCAGAAAAAAAACTGCCAAAAACTAAAACTAATTTTGAAAAGAATGATAAAAACGTTAAAGCCTTAGGAAGACTAGATGATAAAAGAGAAGACCCAAATTACCATCCTTAGGAGTGAACTGGTACACATCTTCAGACATTAAAATAAGATATTATGTGTGACTTTATGTCGAAATTAAATTAATTGAGCAACTAAGTAAAATAATTCCTTGAAAAACATCTTATCAAAGCTAAGAGGAAGAAATTGAAAATCTATCAAAAACCTTTCTTAAAAAGACATTACAAAAATTATAAGCTAACATCTCTCATAAACATAATTTCAAAAATCTAAAAACTTTAGCTATACTTTCTATTTTGTGTGAATGCTCTTGCCAATGCTATTAGTCAAGATAAAGTTGTAAAGGACTGGAAAGGAAGAGGCAACCATATCATTATTCGCATACAACATGATTATGTCTATAAACAAACTAGTAGAAATAGTAAGTAAACTTTGCAAAGACACTTGATAAAAAGTCATTATGAAAAATGCTCTTTTATATAACAAAGATAGATAATGTTTTATAAAAATTCTTTATATGTCTCAAAATCATCATATACCTAGGAATGAATTAATGAAACATTGTAAGCTTTATACAATAAAAGCTAAAGAATTTGAGAGAAATTAAAGATGACCTAAAAAAATGCAAGCATATATCATGCTCATGGACACTGTAAAGATACCAATTTTTCCCAAATCAGTCTTCAGGTTCAACGTAATTTCAATCAAAATGCAAGCAATTTTTCTGTGGAAATTTACATAGAAATGCAAAGAGCAAAGAATAGCCTGGAAGATCTTTAGGAAAGAGAGAGAAGCCAAATGCTTAAACAACCAGAAAAGTGTATTCATTGTAAACTGAAAAAATGAGGTATTTGTGTAGGTATAAAATAATGGACCGGTGGACCAGAATAAAGAACCTAGAAACAGACCTAAACATATCATCTGGTTCATGACAAATGTGACAAAACAGTACTGTTTGGAAAAAATAACATTTTTAATAAATGGTGTTGCATGTAGGAGAAAAGAGAAAGGTTTGCTAGATCCCACGCCATCTTACCAACACAAGAACATACTCCAGCAACTTTCCCCTCTCTCAGTTAGATATCCATCAAAGAAAACGATGAACCTTGACCCTTACTTCAGTCCAGAAGCAAAAATTCAATTCCAGATAGACTGTTAACTAAATACAACAGTTAAAACAATACATATATTAGAAGAAAACATAATATTTTTATGACCTTGAGGTAGGCAAACATTTATTTCTGTTTTGTTTTTTTAGAGTTTTAGAGACAAGGTCTCGCTCTGTCACCCAGGCTGAAGGACAGTGGCTCACTGCAGCCTCAAACTCCCAGTCTCAAGCTATTCTCTCACCTCAGCCTCCTGAGTAGCTAGGATGACAGGCACATACCATCACACCTAGCTGATTTTTTATTTCCTTTTTGATACAGAGTCTTGCTCTGTCTTGCTCTGTCAGGCTGGAGTGCAGCAGCACGATCTCAGCTCACTGCAAGCTCTGCCTCCTGGGTTCACGCCATTCTCCTGCCTCAGCCTCCTGAGCAGCTGGGACTACAGGTGCCCGCCACCACGCCTGGCTAATTTTTTGTATTTTTAGTAGAGATGGGGTTTCACTGTGTTAGCCAGGATGGTCTCGATCTCCTGACCTCATGATCCACCCACCTTGGCCTCCCAAAGTGCTGGGATTACAGGCGTGAGCCACCATGCCCAGCCACACCTAGCTGATTTTTAAAAAAAATTTTGTGGAGATGGGGGTCTCACTATGTTGCTCAAACCTGGCCTCCAGAAATCCTCCATCTTTAGCCTCCCAAAGCACAGGGATTACAGGCATGAGCTGCCATGCCTGGCCCAACAAAGATTTCTTAAACAGGACAAGAAAACTCTAACCATAATTAGACTACTTAAAAATTAAGAACTCTTAAAATCATAGCATTAAAAGAGTGAAAAACCAAGGCACAGAGTGGGAGATGTTTGCAATAAACATATATGACAAAGGATTATTAGCTTTCTTTTGCTACCAAAATAAATCACCAAAAACTTAACAGTTTAACAACAGACATTTATTATCTTACAGCCCTGCAGGTCAGGACAAGATTCATTCATGAGTCTCACTGTGCTAAAATCAAGGTGTTAGCAAGGCTGCATTTCTTTCTGGGGCCTCGAAGTGCGGTGGAATTCATTTTGTTGCTCATCAGGTGGTTGGCAAATTCAGTTGCTTGCAGTTGTAGGATCAAAGTCCCTATTACTATGCTGGCTGTCAACTGAGACCATTCCGAGTTTCTAAATGCTGCCATATTTCTTGACTCATGGACCCTTCCTCTATCTTCAAAGCCAGCAACGGTGAGTCAAGCACTTCTCACATCACGTCTCTCTGGGGCCCTCTTCTGCATTCTTCTTCTACTCTGAAGGATTCATGATTAGATTGAGCCCCTAGATAACCTCCATCTCAAGGCCCTTAACCTTAATCCAATCTTCAAAGTCTGTTCTCAAGGTCCTTAACCTTAATCCAGTCTTCAAAGTCTATTCTCAAGGTCCTTAACCTTAATCCAGTCTTCAAAGTCTATTCTCAAGGTCCTTAACCTTAATCCAGTCTTCAAAGTCTATTTTGTCATGTGAGGTAACATATTTACAGGTACCAGGGATTTGAATCTGAATATTTTTGGAGGCCCTTAACCTGCATACCACAGATTCGTATCTAGAATATAAATATAACTTCTATAAATAAACATAGCAAAGATGCACACCTAAACTGCTCTATTTTTCCTATCATTATCTTCTAACATACTATATATTTTACACATTAATTCTTTGGCTTTATGTTTCTCTCCTCAGCGTAAGCTATCCTTTCCATAAAAGCAGAGATCTTATATTTCAATGACCTTATGCATAATATGAGTTGAGTGAATGAAGTAAATAAATTCATCAAACAGTACAGCCTGAGATGTGTCTCTCTGTTTAATGATTATTAGAGCTCTCAGAGATAAACGATAGGCTTTACCTCAAATACTATGTTCACAGCTAGCTCTTTATCAAAGAAAACAGACCAGAATTCCTAACTGGGTAGGTTCTCTATTATTCAGTTAAAAAAAATACCTGGCCAAAGATAAGTAAGAAAAGAATAACTTAGTCTTTGTTCTTCCAGAAAAAGGTTAACATAGCAGGCCTGACAGCTCTCTTTAGAAGGGCCTGCTTAGGAGGTTGGCCATTGACTAGCATCTGGGAAGCTGAGTTTCAGGTGTGTTCTCACGATTCCCTAACTGCTAAGCATATTTAATGTATCTGGACTATGTGTGCAAACAATGAGGTTTATGTTGAATGCTCGCTTTTCTTCTGGGATTCTAGAAGTTTGGCATGTAGAGGGTGTCTATGTGACCACTGGGAAGTAAAAATTCTGAGGCTTGAATGTCTAATGAGCTTTCCTAATAAACAACATTTCACGTGTATTGTGATAATCTGATGCTAGAAGAATTAAGCATGTCCTGTGTGACTCCATGGGGTGAGGACTCTTGGATGCTTACACTGGTTTTGTCTGGACTTTGCCCCATGTAGTCTTTTTCCTTTGCAGTTCTGTCTCTTTTTGCCATAATAAATCTTAACCATTGAGTATAACCATATGCTAAGTCCTGTGGGCCATCCTAATAAATCACCAGACCTCAGGACGGTCTTGAGGACCCCGACACACTTATCATACATACATGAGGTAGTAGAAAGTTTGTAACATACTCTTCAAATTTTACATAGTAGCTCAGAAAATAAATATTCAGGTTGGAATGGAATACAGATACTGCAATTCATGGACTACTCCTTCATTAGAGAGATGCTGCAGTGACTAGGACAGAACTTGGGCATTTAGAATGGAAAGAATGTAAACTCAGTATGAATGCCTAACTATCTGTAACTTTTTAAAATAATCTTTATGTGGGTTTTGCTGGTAAATCTGTTTTAGTTTATATAAAAGAACTAAATTTTATAGAATAACTTAATCCCAGCCGGGCACAGTGGCTCACACCTATAATCCCCGTACTTTGGGAGTTCAAGGCAGGCATTTTATGAGGTCAGGCAATTGAGACCATCCTGGCTAACAAGGTGAAACCCTGTCTCTACTAAAAATCCAAAAAATTAGCCGGGTGTGGTGGCATACATCTGTAGTCCCAGCTACTCGGGAGGCTGACACAGGAGAATCACTTGGCCCCGGGAGGTGGAGGTTGCAGTGAGCCAAGATTGAGCCACCGCACTCCAGCCTGGATGACAGAGCGAGCCTCCACCTAAAAAAAAAAAAAAAGAAAAGAAAATTTAATGTAATTAAGGTGTTCTAAAATACCTGAGCTGCTTCTGATTATCTGTACTAGTGTCCACAGAGATCAGGAGTATGCTATGCATATTGGAGTTGCTCAGGAAGGATCTGAGACAAAGTGAAGTACGACAGCCAAGTCTATAGGAGAAAATAGCTATACAACAATGGCTGAGAGTGACCATGCAGAAATATGACACTGTTGCTACCAGGATGCTTGAATCTTCAGGAGGAGTCAGAAAATGAGGAAGATAAGAATTGAAAAACTATTAGGAACTATGCTCAGTTCCTAGGCGACAGGATCAATCATACCCCAAATCTCAGCATCCCACAATATACCCAGGTAACAAACTTGCACATGTACCCCCTGAATCTAAAATCAAAGTTGGAATTATATTTTTTTAAAAGACAAGCATATTCTTAAGTCTTCCAATGTTTAAATCTTGGCAACAAACTGAAAGAATTTTTCAAGTGGCCAAAAAAAACTATTCTAGAAATAAATCAGACAAAAGTAAAGAAAAAATTTTTAAAAGAACAAACAAAACCTCTGAGAAATACAGGATTATATAAAGAGATCAAATCTACAATTCACTGACATCCCTGAAAGAGACAGGGAAAAAGCAAGAAACTTAAACAACATATTTCAGGATATCATCCATGAAAGCTTCTCCAGCCTCACTAGTGAGGCCAACATTCAAATTCAGGAAATGCTGAGAACCCCTGTGAGACACTACACAAGAAAATCATCCCCAAAATATACAATCATCAGATTTTCCAAGGTCAACATGAAAGAAAAAATGTTACAGGAAGCTAGAGAGAAGAGTTAGGACATCTACAAAGGGAACCCCATCAGGCTAACAGGAGACCTTTCAGCAGAAACCCTATAACCCAAAAGAGATTGGGGACTATATTCAGTATTCTTAAAGGAAAGAATATCCAGCCAAGAATTTTATATTCAGCCAAACTAAGCTTCACAAGTGAAGGAGAAATAAGACCCTTTTCAGACAAACAAATGCTTAGGGAATTTGTCACCATCAGACCTGCCTCACAGGAGGTCCTGAAGGGAGTGCTAAATATGGAAAGGAAAGACAATTATTGGTCACTGCAAAAACACACTTAAGGACATAGACCATTGACATTATAAAGCAACCCCACAAACAAGCCTGCAAAATAACCGGCTTACAACAGGATAACAGGATCAAATTAACACATATGAATACTAACCTTGAATGTAAATGGGCTAAATGCCCCAATTAAAACACACGGAGTGCCAGACTGGAGAAAGAAGCAAGATCCAATGGCATGTTGTCTTCAAGAGATTCATCTCATATGTAATAACACCCATAGGCTCAATGTACAAGGTGGGAGAAAAATCTACCAAGCAAAGAACAATTGCTATTCTAATTTCAGACAAAATATACTTTAAACCAACAAAGATCAAAAAAGACAAACAAGGGCCTTAGAAAATGGTAAAAGGTACAACTCAACAAGAAGACCTAACGCTCCTAAAGGTATATGCACCCAACACATGAGCACTCAACTTCATAAAGTGAGTTCTCAGAGACCTAGTAAGAGACTTAGATAACCACACAATAATAATGGGAGATTTCAACATTACAGTGACAGTATTAGGCAGATAATTGAGGCAGAAAATTAAAGATATTTAGGACCTGAACTCAACATTAGACCAAATGAACCTAATAGACACCTATAGAACTCCCCACCCAAAAACAATACAATCTTCTCATTGCCACATGGCACATACTCTAAAATCAACCATGCTGTTGGACATACAACAGTCCTCAGCAAATTCAACAAAATCAAAATCATACCAACCACACTCTTGGACCACAGCACAATAAAAATAGAAATCAATACAAAGAAAATAGCTCAAAACCATACAATTACCTGGAAATTAACCTATTCCTGAGTGACTTTTGCATAAGTAATGTAATTAAGGCAGAAATCAAGAAATGCCTTGAAACTAAAGAGAATAAAGATACAAAATGCCAGAACCTCTAAGATACAATTAAGTCAGTGTTAAGAGGGAAGTTTGTAGCACTATGTGTCCACATCAGAAAGTTAGAATGATCTCAAATTAACAACCTAACATAACAACTAGAGGAATAAGAAAAACCAACCCCAAAGCTAGCAGAAGATGAGAAATAACCAAAATCAGAGCAGAATTTAAGGAAACGGCGGTGCAAAAAGCTGTACAAAAGATCAATGAATCTAGAAATAGGTTATTTGAAAAAAATTGTTAGTCTAGTTTGCAGTCTAACTTACTAAAGAAAAAAAGACAGAAGATCCAAGTAAACCCAGTTAGAAATGACAAAGGGTACATTATCATTGACCCTACAGAAATACTAAAAACCTTCAGAGACTACTATGAACACCTCTGTGCATACAAACTAGAAAATATAGAAGAAACAGATAAATTCTTCGACACATACAACCTCCCAAGACTGAACCAGGAAGAAACTGAATCCCTGAACAGACCAATAATGAGTTCTGAAATTTAATCAGTAGTAAAAAGCCTTCCAAGAAGTAAAACCACTCAGATTCACAGCTGAATTCTACCAGATACATGAAAAAAAAAAAAAAAAAAGCTGCTTCCATTCCTATTGAAACTACTCCAAAACCTTAAGGAGGGGAGATCATCTATAATTCATTCTATGAGGCCAGCATCAGCTTCATACCAAAATCTGGCAGAGACACAAGAAAAAAAAAAAAGAAAAGAAAACTTCAGGCCAATATTCTTGATGAATATTGATGTAAAAATCCTCAACACAATACTAGCAAATCGAATCTAGCAGCACATCAAAAAGCTAATTCACCTTGACCAAGTAGGCCATATCCTTTTCCCTAGGATGCAAGGTTGGTTGCACATACACAAATAAATAAATGTGATTGATCACATAAACAAAACTAAAACAAAAAAACCACCCATGACCATCTCATTAGATGCAGAAAAAGCTTTTGATAAAATTTGACATCCCTTCATGTTAATAGCTCTTAATAAACTAGGCATTGAAGAAACATAATTCAAAATAATAAGAGCCATCTATGATAAACCCACAGCCAACATCATGCTGAATGAGCAAAAGCTAGAAGCATTCCCCTTGAACACCGGAATAAGACAAAGATATCCTCTCTCATCACTCCTATTCAACATAGTACTGGAAGTCCTGGCCAGTGCAATCAGACAAAAGAAAAAAATAAAAGGCCTCTAAATAGGATGACAGGAAGTCAAGCCATCACGGTTTGCAGATGACATGATTCTGTATTGAGAAAAATACCATAGTCTCTGCCCAAAAGCTCATTGATCTGATAAACATATTCAGCAAAGTTTCATGATACAAAGTAAATGTACAAAATCTATAGCATTTTTATACACCAAAAATATCCAAGCTGAGAGTCAAATCAGGAATGCAATCTCACTCAAAATAGACACAAAAAGAATAAAACACCTAGGAATACAGCTAACCAGGGAGGTGAACTATCTCTACAATGAGAACTACAAAACATTGCTCAAAGAAACAAACAAATGGAAGAACATTCCATGCTCATGGATAGGAAGAATCAATATCATGAAAATGGCCATACTGCCCAAGGTAATTTATAGATTCAATGCCATCCCCATTAAGCTACCAATGACTTTCTTCACAGAATTGGAAAAAACTGTAAAGTTCATATGGAACCAAAAAAGAGCCTGAATTGCCAAGACAATCCTAAGCAAAAGAACAAAGCTGGAGGCATCATGCTACCTGACTTCAAACTATACTACTAGTGTAGAGTAACCAAAACAGCATGGTACTGGTACCAAAACAGAGATATAGACCAATGGAACAGAACAGAGCCCTCAGAAATAACACCACATACCTACAACCATTTGATCTTTGACAAACCTGACAAGAATAAGAAATGGGGAAAGGATTCCCTATTTAACAAATGGTGCTGGGAAAACTGGCTAGCCATATGGAGAAAGCTGAAACTGGATCCCTTCCTTACACCTTATACATAAATTAATTCAAGATGGATTAAAGACTTAAATGTTAGACCTAAAACCATAAAAACCCTAGAAGAAAACCTAGGCAATACCATTCAGGACATAGGCATGGGCAAGGACTTCATGTCTAAAACACCAAAAGCAATGGCAACAGAAGCCAAAATTGACAAATGGGATCTAATTAAACTAAAGAGCTTCTGCACAGCAAAAGAAACTACCATCAGAGTGAACAGGCAACGTACAGAATGGGAGAAAATTTTTGCAATCTACTCATCTGAAAAAGGGCTACTATCCAGAATCTACAATGAACTCAAACAAATTTACAAGAAAAAACAAACAACCCCATCAACAAGTGGGCGAAGGAGATGAACAGACACTTCTCAAAAGAAGAATTTATGCATCCAAAAGACACATGAAAAAATGCTCACCATCACTGGCCATCAGAGAAATGCAAATCAAACCACGATGAGATGCCATCTCACACCAGTTAGAATGGCAATCATTAAAAAGTCAGGAAATAACAGGTGCTGGAGAGGATGTGGAGAAATAGGAATGCTTTTACACTGTTGGTGGGAGTGTAAACTAGCTCAACCATTGTGGAAGTCGGTGTGGCAATTCCTCAATGATCTAGAACTAGAAATACCATTTGACCCAGCCATCCCATTACTGGGTATATACCCAAAGGATTATAAATCATGCTACTATAAAGACACATGCACACGTATGTTTATTGTGGCACTATTCACAGTAGCAAAGACTTGGAACCAACCCAAATGTTCATCAATGATAGACTGGATTAAGAAAATGTGGCACATATACACCATGGAATACTATGTAGCCATAAAAAAGGATGAGTTCATGTCCTTTGTAGGGACATGGATGAAGCTAGAAACTATCATTCTGAGCAAACTATCACAAGGACAGAAAAGCAAACATCTCACTCATAGGTGGGAATTGAACAATGAGAACACTTGGACACAGGGTGGGGAACATCACACACCAGGGCCTGTTGTGGGGTGGAGGCATGGGAGAGGGATAGGATTAGAAGAAATACCTAATGTAAATGACAAGTTAATGGGTGCAGCAAACCAACATGGCACATGTATACATATGTAACAAACCTGCACGTTGTGCACATATACCCTAGAACTTAAAGTATAATAACAAAAAAAAGAAATCAGAGATGACACAAATAGAAAACATCCCATGCTTGTGGATAAGAAGAATCAATATTGTTAAAATGGCATACTATCCAAAACAATTTACAGATTCAATGATATTTAATGCTATATCAAAATACCAATGACATTCTTCACAGAATTAGAAAAAACTATTTTAAAATTCATATGGAACTAAAAAACAGCCTGAATAGTCAAGGCAATCCTAAGCAAAAAGAGTAAAGCTGGAGGCATCACGTTACCCAACTACGAACTATACTGCAAGGCTACAGTAACCAAAACAGCATGGGTCTGGTACAAAAACAGACATATAGACCAATAGAACAGAATAGAGAGTCCAGATATAATGCTGCACACCTACAGCCATGTGATCTTTGACAAAGCTGACAAAAACAAGAAATGGGAAAAGAACCCCCTATTTAGTAAATGGAGCTGGAAAAACTGGCTAGCCATTTGCAGAAGATTGAAACTGGACCACTTCCTTACACCATTTACAAAAACCAACTCAAGATGGATTAAAGACTTAAAGGTAAAACCTAAAATTATAAAATCTCTGGAAGATAACTTAGGAAATATCATTCTGGACATAGGACCTGGCAAAGATTTCATGATGAAAATGGGAAAAGCAATTGCAACAAAAACAAAAATTGACAAATGGGACCTAATTATACTAAAGAGCTTTTCCACAGCAAAATAAACTATCAATAGAGTAAACAACCTACAGATTGGGGGGAAATATTTGCTAACTATTCATCCAACAAAGGTCTAATATCCAGAATATATGTAGAACTTAAACACATTTACAAGCAAAAAAACAAACAACCCCATCACGAAGTGGGCAAAGAACATGAACAACTTTCAAAAGAAGACTTACATGCATCCAACAAGCATATGAAAAAATGCTGAACATCATTAATCAGAGAAACGCAAATCAAAACCACAATGAGATACCTTACATCAGTCAGAATGACTATTATAATAAAGTCAAAAAATAACAGATGCTGGTGAGATTGCAGCAAAAAAAGAGTGCTTATACACTGCTGGTGGGAGTGTAAATTAGTTCAGCCATTGTGGAAAGCGGTGTGACAATTCCTCAAAGAACTTAAAAAAGAATTGCCATTTGACCCAGTAATCTCATTATTGGGCAGATATCCAAAGGAATATCAATTGTTCTATCATAAAGACATATGCACATGCATGTTCATCACAGCACTATTCACAACAGCAAAGACACGGAATGAGCCTAAATGCCCATAAACAGTAGACTAGAGAAGGAAAATATGGCACATATACACCATGGAATCCCATGCAGCCATAAACACAAACGAGATGATGTCCTCTGCCACAACATGGATGGAGCTTGAGGAACATTATCCCAAGCAAACTAATGCAGAAACAGAAAACAATATACTGCATCTTCTCACTTATAAGTGGGAACTAAACAATGAGAACACATGGACACAAAGAGGGGAACAATAGATATCAGAGTCTACTTGAGTGTGGAGGGTGAGAGGCTCTCTTACTCTTCCACTTTCCACCATGGATGATGCAGCAATAAGACCTTTGCCTGATGCTAGAGGATCAGAAATAATACCTATCAGGCACTATGCTTATTACCTGGGTGACAAAATAGTTTGTATACCAAACCCCCATATATTTATATAGCAAACCTGCACATGTACTCCTGAACTGAAAATAAAAGTTAAAAAAAAAATGATTCTATGCTGTCTACCAGTTCAGAATCTCTCATGTCTAACATATGAAAATTCATGAATCTATGTGTTTAATTCATAGTATAAAACATGAACAAAAGAAGAAAAATATAAACCTAATTTCAATAGAAAAGTACCGCAAAGATCTAGGATCATTACGCAAAATCATCTTAGCAGCGATTTTCTTTCAGGTAATACAGTTAGAAAAGAGTTCACGAGCAGCAGCAAATAACATTAAAGCCGACAGCATCATTAGAGTAGTTTGAATAAATTAGCAGGACAAGAGGGTCCTGCTATTATTTCATTCCACAGAATAGCAACCTTTACTTTCACACAAATGCAAATTATATAGGCTATGTTTCTTTAGCCCAAGACACAAATATACAAGTGACTAGGCTCTTAGAAGAGCTGACTTATCTTCAGTAATCCAGCCCTCTCTCATCACCAAGATGGACGGTTCCAGAATTATGACTTGGCTGAAGATCTGGCCTGACCAGCATTGTGAAAATGCACTCAACCATTTTGGAGTTGTCAGGTATTATCTATAAATTTCAGACAATCATTTTGTCCCCTTGTCTTCTCTTACCATGTGCCTTTTCTCTGAGTTATTGACTTGCTCTCCAGATCAATCCAAGAAACATATGCCTTTGTAGAAATGGTTATTATATTTTCAGTAGGCTCTCAGTGGAAGTTTGAATCCTCTCCACTGGACTGCGGGTTCAAACATGATCTCACAATCTTGTCCATTTTGAATGTAATGTGATTCTAAATTGATCATTTATTTGCTTGTCCAGAAAAAGCTGAGCAGGAGATGGAAAAGCAACATAATCAGAAGTAAAAATGCTTATGTGATTATCTCAAATACACGTGTTGATGATAACTATTCTAGGCAGTTGATTTTGCTCTCCCTCCTTGTCTTCAAGGTTATATCTCAATAAAAAACCTCTCCTTACTAAAAATAAACCATTTTGTCTTTCAGAAATATTTCACAGATTTGTGCAAGGTCTTGTTTCTCATAGCATGACACTTCTAAGAGTTTACTTCTCAGGTTCTAGAGAAAACTAAAATGCTCAAAGAACTCCATCTCCAAATCAGGCATATAAATATGTATATTTATATATATATATACACACAGAGAGAATAGATCTATATTTATATATATATAGAATATATCAAGAATAGAAGACATTTGCTTTCTTACAGTGTGTGGTACAAAATATAATTGTATTACTCTATTATCTCCTTCTGTTATGTTTCTTTTAAAACGCATACCTTTTTATAATTTTGATAGGGCTAAATGTTAAGCTTTGGAAAATCTAAATAAAAGCTATATTGATCATTATTTGTTGAGGAAAATAGTTATTACCTCTTGAATTTTCGGAGTTACTTTAATGACAAAATTTTTACTAATAAAAATTACTAATAAGATACTGCATTTTACTAATATGAATATGGTACTATTTATTTTTTAAAGTAATATATGTTTTGTTCTGTAAATGACATTTTACATCCTTGAGTATAGTAGTGGTTGAAGGTTTCCTGGTTTCCACAACATAGATATGTGCTATGGCTTAAATGTATTCGCTAAAGTTTATGTGTTCAAAACTTAATCTCCAGAGAAGTATTGTTGAGAGGGGGTCCTTTAAGAAGTGATTAGGTCATGAGGGCTCAGCCATCATGAATGGATTAATGCCTTTATTGAGGGAGAGGGTTAATTATCTCTGGTACGAGGTTCTGAAGAACAGAATTTGGCCTTTTCTCTCTCTCTGGAGCCTGCTCTCTTACTCTTGCACCTTCCGCCATGGATGATGCAGCAATAAGACCCTTGCCAGATGCAGGCCCCTCAACCTTGGACTTTCCAGCCTCCAGAACTCTAAAAAATAAATTTCTTTTCTTTATGAATTACCCACAGTCCGTGGTGTTCAGTTATAGCAACACAGAAACGAGTAAGACAGAAAATTGGTACCAAGAAGCAGGGCTGTTGCTACAACAAATACTTCAAAGTGTGGAAGTGGCTTTGAAACCAGGTCATGGATAGAGACTGGAAGAGTTTGGAGGAGCAGGCTGGGAAAAGACTGTATTGTTGTGAAGGGAGTGTTCACGGCAATACTGGTGAAGGCTCAGAAGAAAACAAGAGCTATAAGGAGAGCCTAAATCTTCTTAGGGATTACTTAAGTGATTGTGATCAGAGTATTTACTGGTAAAATGGACAGTAATGTGTATTCTGATGAGGTCTCTGATGAAAATGAGGTTTTGAAAACTGGATGGAAGGCCATCCTTGTCATAAAGTCGAAAAGAATTTGGCTGAATTGTGTCCATGCCCAAGGGCTTTATGGAAGGTGGAATTTAAGGGCCATAACTAGGATATCTGGTGAAGGGAATTTTTAAGTAAAATATTGAAGGAGACTTATGGCTACATTTAACTGCATATAGGAAGATGCAGGTGGAATTTATAATTAAAAGAGAAGCAGAATGGAAAGATTTGAAAAATTCACAGCCTGGCCATATAAAGAATAAAACAAACATGTTTAGGAGAACAAACCAAGGGTTTAGCCAAGAAACCATTTGCTAAGGAGATTATGAAAGACCCCATAGATATTTTAGAGATCCTTGAGGCTGCTTTTCCATCACAGGCACAGAGCAAGGCCTTGAGGACAAGGTTTTCAGAGAGGGACCCATTGTGACCTCAGCATTTGCTACCCAGGGCCACCTCAGGGCTCGGCTCCCCACATCCCAGGGCAGAGCTCCTAAGATGTTCCATCTGGGATTCAAGTGGGCCCAGTTGTGGCCTGTGCCACAGTTCCCAAGGGAGCAAGCTGTGGGCCTTGGGCAGGATCCACATGTGCTGACTGCAGAAGCGAAGAGTGTACAAGCTTTAGGGCTATGGTGGCCTCCACCTAGATTTGATGTTGTGACAACCTAGGGACCCAAGTCCCCACTTGTCACAGGGGTTGAGACACCATAGAGAGCCCCTACTAGGGCAATGTCTACTGTAACAGAGGGAGCAAGGCTACCTCAGAGACCTCAAAACTGTAGATCTACCAGCCTGTAACTCCAGCCTGAGAAAGCTGCAGGCATGAGACTCCAACTCATGAGAGCTGCTGGGTGGACTGAGCCTAGCAAAGCAATAGGGCAGGTCTATCCAAGGCCTTAGGGGCCTAACTCCCACCCCAGTGTGCCCAGTATGCAGCACATGGAGTCAAAGGAGATTATTCTCCAATGTTAAGTGATAATGTTGTTTTCCCCATTGGGTTTTAGATTTGGGACCAGATACCTTTTGTTTGTTTGTTTTGCCTATTTCTCCCTTTTAGAATAGGAATATCTATCTTAAACCCATCTCACCATAGTATTTTGGAAGCATATCACCTGTTAATTTCACAAGCCCATAACTGCAAAGGAATTTGCCTCAGGATAAATTGTGCCTTCAGTCTCACTCATATCTGACTCAGATGAGAATCTAGACTTTGAACTTTTGAACTGGTGCTGGAATATGTTAAGAGTTTGGGGCTACTGAGATGGAATGAAGATATTTTGCATGTGAGAATGACATAATTTTGGGAGCCAAGGTCCCAAATGCTATGGGTTTGAATGTATCCCCCAAAGTTCATGTGTTCAAAATTATCCCCAATGCAACAAGGTGATTAGGTCATAAGAGATTAATCCCATTATCTCAGGAGTGAGTTATCAAGGGAGTGGGCTCCTCATAAAAGAGTCTGGCCCTCTCTTGAGCTTGTTCTCTCTTGCACTTCTGCCTTCTGCCATAAGATGATGCAGCACAAAGGCCCTCACCATATGTTGGCCACCTTGATATTGGACTTCCAGCCTCTAGAACTGGGAGAAATAAGTGTCTTTTCTTTCTAAATTACCAAGTGTGTGGTATTCTGTTTTGGCAACACAAAACAGACTCAGACAGCATGACTGACAAATAACCAGTTTTATGCTTAAAAGGAGTCCTAAACTATGAGGAGTTACAGTTGAGATTAGTGGGGAAAATATTAAAATTAAATCCAGCAGATGTAAGTTCTAGTTCTGGCTCAGTTATTGCTATAGGACTTTGTGGACATTTATCTTTTCTTCCCTGTGATAATTCAGCCTTAATTGAATTAAATATACATTCAAGTGTATCTTCTTGGGGAACATAAAACAGCTAAGTAACTGTATAGGACACAGTTAATTTACAATTAAACTGGGAAAAGTCTACCTTTATCTCTGGGGACTCTGAATGTCAAGTTTGACCACTGGCCCAAGATGAATGCAGTGAGATTTATGATGTGCAGTTTAACGTCCGAAATGACCCTAGAGACTCTCCAGGGCTAGTTTGTTTACTGATAGTTTTTACCTGGTGTAACTTGTTAGCCTGGCTTGACTACATGACCAGAGGGTCATAAACACCCCCTCTGGGAACTTATGCCCTGACTCCTCACACAGACTTGGTAGTCTGGACACAAAATGTGTCCTTGGGCAAATAAGAACCCTGCAAAGCTTAGAGCTAGTTATCCATCAGACTCCAGACTCCCAGTGCCTGTCTGCACGCTTTCTCCCACTGCACTATTTTCCTATTAAAACAAAACAAAAACAAAAACAAAACCCTTGCATGAGTATGCTCTGTTGAGTCTGGAGAGTCCTTTCAAATATCTGAACTTGTGGAATATTTGCAATATCTAATGTACAGACTCTGGTTATCTTTTCAACATCACTGAACAGGCATGGTCCGTGGAAATCAGCCTTTACAATTCCTCTTTCTGATCTTAGGGGTAACTTTGTGTAAGGTTCTACCATCAAATTATACTCTTCTCTTCTTTGGTTCACAAATGATTCTCATTTTGCAAAAAACTGTCCCTCAAATTAAAAAAATATATATTATCTTTTGTTTCTGTACTCTTTGACACCTACGTAGTATATACAATCACAATAATATTGATGGATATACTTACATAATACAACTAAAATATCATCGGTAAGTAAACATTAAATCTCCAAAATTCTGATAGATTTAATATTTCACAGATTTAAAATGTTAGCACATGGGAATCGACTTTGCCATGGAGTAGAACAGAGACATAAAAGTGAAGTTCCTAACAAGTTAAATGTGTGAGAATTTGGATATTTAACAAAAGCAATCAGCAAAGAATATATTTGCTGCAGATTAAAAACAAGGAGCTAAGAGAAACCACTGGGTAAAAAACAGACTGCACCTGGAATACCAAAGTAAACAAAAAGCAATTACTTAAAGATGCACTTAGTCATGCCCATCAATTAAAAAGGCCCATTTGGCATTTGCCCTTCTTTCAGCATGCTGGGGTCTGATGATCTGCATTAATGAGAAGTGTCTGTTGAATCCAGGTTAACTGCTTGTATATGTTTATTCTCATGCTGCAATGAAGAAATAACCAAGACTGGATAATTTATCAAGAAAAGAGGTTTAATTGACTCACAGTTCCATGTGACTGGGAAGGCTACAACCATCGTGGAAGGTACCTCTTCACACGGTGGCAAGAGAGAGAATGAGTGCCTAGCAAAGGGCAAAGCTCCTTATAAAACCATCAGATCTCGTGAGAACTCACTTGCTATCGTGAGAACAACATGCAGGTAACGCCCCCATGATTCAATTACCTCCCACCAGGTCCCTTCCAGGACATATGGGGATTATGCGAACTACAATTCAAGGTGAGATTTGGGTGGGGGCACAGCCAAACAATTTAACTGCTCCTACCAGAGTCCACCAGACAGGGGAGTGTTTAGTTCCAATGGCTAACCTATTCTCTGGCTATAAATTACACACAGTGAAATGAGTTCACTCTTCCAGAAAAGAAATTGTGAGAGTCAATGTCGTCTTTTAGGAAAAGGGGCAAACAGTGATCCTGGGAAATTTAAGGCAATAACATCCAGAAGTACCCACTGAACTTCGAAGTTAATTCTGGGGCAGCCAGAAAGAATGAACAATCATCCATGAAGAAAAGGAAAAGCTCTGTCTTATCAGAAGAAGTATTTTTCCAAGTACTGGTATTCTGGTTTCCATCATGGCCTTCCTTTCCTCTTCTTCAGAGCACAATCAAACAGAGAATCATGTTTTTCTGTGACACTAATGACAACTCCATTCACTAGTATACAGAAATGTGAAGAAGAATAATTCCTTTGCTAGTATTCTCTACTTTATCCATATAAATATTGACATATACCATGGGGACAACTAGAATTTAGAAGATTTTGTTTATTCATGGTATTTAAGTGAATTTTTAATTGTTTCAATAGTAATAGTTTTGTGTCATTTTTGGTTTGACGTTTCCCCAATACAAAATATTGTTACCTTCAATCTTATGTGCCTCAGGTGGAACAAGAATTATGGTGTTTCTGCTCCGTATAATTGCCTGGACATTGAGAGGCCTTGGACAGTACTGATTGAATCAAACAGAGAAAACCCAGGCTGTTTGCTCCTTAGCCACAATTATCACATGGTAGTATATTTTCTCAGTAAATGTTTTAGTTTTATAATTTTGTGACTTCATAATACCTGTACTAGCACAAATTAGGGTTACAAAAGGAAAACAGCAGGGTCAACTCTAAAATGTTCACTTGAGAGTAGTTCACTAAGCTGTGTTTACCTAAGTATTTAAGAGCAGTAATGTTGCCTGTGCAGGATATAGTCTTTTAATCTAAGCCATTTCCATCTGTTATTTGCCTTGAACACTAAATATCTGTACACAATTCAGCCAACCCTGCCACTAATGAGCAAAACTACTATTGGGCTTTGTCTGGGAAAGGATCTTAGAAGCTCCAGATACCAGAGATAAATTTCCAAGTGTCCCAAAGGCTCTAAGAAGCAGTAGAGCCATTCACTGCCTACACAACTCAAGCTACAGGTGACATGCCCTATGCCCTAGTCATTTCCCCCACTTCATTCTCATCAATCTTGTTCACATGGGCTAGACACTTTTTCATTATTCTCTGCCTAATTTTCCCCAAGATGCCTTAATGTGCTTGATGCTTCCACTATGTCTTCCCTGTACCCCTACACTTTACCTAGCACCTGTTCTCCCAGATTACGACCTGCAGCCTTGAATTTCTCCTTTAGTTTGAGACTAGTTTGCATTTGTCACACTTCCATCCAAACTTAACGTGTAATATTTACTGTACTTCTTGAACTGACATTCCAGTTCTCATCACTGCCTTCTTTCCTGTTGAAATCCCCTCAAACCTCAACTCAGCCCCTTCCCTCCCAGCATGCTACTCAGCTGGTACCATGCTGTGCTTACTTAAAACTCTCCTATAAGTGGGCGCCACACTCCCAATCACACTTCCATTTAAAAATTCCTTTGATTACTACATCCTGACTATTTGGAATAGTGCTGTAATGAAAATAGGAGTGCCAATATTTCTTTGAAATCTTGATTTTAATTCTTTTAGATAAATGTTCAGAAGTGGAATCGCTAAATCATATAGTTATATTTTTAATTTTTAAGGATCTTTAAACTGTTTTCCATAGTGGCTATACCGGCATGCAAGGGTTCCTGTTTGTATGGTACACTTAAAAATTTAAAAGGGTAGATCTCATGTTAAGTGTTCTTACCACAATAAAATAAAGTAAATTTCTCTGACTTCAACTTCCAGTGCCTTGCCATCACCTGCTTCTGCAACACCACTAGCAGTAGGTATATCAAAGGACTTTTCAGGTCAGCCTTTGTGGCCTGACACTTTCTGCCACTGCTCTGCCCCTCCTTCCATTCATTGAACTCTACCGTCTGATGAATGGTTTTGTAAAGCTTGCACTTGGAAAGCAGTTTTCTGCCAGAACAAGTATACATTTTCTGACAAACTGGTTTTTAGAGTTTATGAAGCCAACTGAAGGGTTCTTTGCATTTCAAATCCATACCCTCCCCCTCACCTGCCCTCTACACTTTAGGATCGACGCAATATTGTTTGATTGCCACTCACCTACTTCTACTCCTCCTTCACTTTGGTCATCTCCATTTATAGCTGTACTGGCAACCTGCCCAATCTGCTATGCCATCTTCTGCCAACATTCCTACATTCATGAGATTTGGAGTACGCAACACAGGAGTAGGAATGGGGAAGGGATCAGACCACTCAGGAAGACAGCTGAAGAGCTAGAGATGCTGATGGCAAATTATCAACTTATTATTCATAAACATGCCTGGGGGTATCATTTAGATTATAAAAATAAAGGTGTTTTACTACATGAATTAGAGTTCTGATCTAAGTTATCTATAGATTTATAACCCTAAAGAACTTCTAAATAAACAGTGATTTAGACATACTGCATATGCTTAAAAATTAAAAGAGAAACATCGAAGAAAATAAATCTGAAGAAACACTATGATATGAGGAGTTATATGTATACACATATGCTTAGGAGTTGATTACGAGCAATCATATCATCCTAAACAAATAGCAATATCTCACTTTAGGTAAGGGAGAATAGGTTTACTTATTTAGTAGAATGTTTATCTAATGTATATGACAAAAGAAAACATTTTTCATGATAAATGATTAGTAAAAATGTAACTTAGTTTTATTATTCCCTGTTATTGCAATTTTTTTATTCCACCATGTAAAAACACTGTGGCAAATTTAGGGAGAGAGAGCTGAACTGCATTAATCATTCCCAAGAATAGGACAAAAAGCCTCACTAACTGTTTCAAAGAGAAAGTTTGATATGCATGTGAAGTTCGAGATGTGATTTCAGTTTCAAGATCGTTATAAGGAAAATAAAAAGCTTACTCTTGCAAAGTTTATCATTTTACTAGGAATGATATGATGTTCACAGTGCCATACAAAAAAGAATCCAATTTCAATCACTTTGGTTCTTCTTAACAGAAACTTTTGCACATATAAGCTTTTTTATACTTTTCTAAACAGATACTTGCAGGTATAATGCAAAGCTATTTTCCTGTTCTCATTGAACAACTGTGAAAAACTACTTATTGTAATAAAATCATCTCTACAAAATGTACCTTCGATGCCTTCTTCCCTGACACCTAATGAACTCGTTTGGTTAATAATAGACAAAAGCTTGGCTTACAGTCTCAAAATTATTCTTCTGACAAGAATTCATTGAACTGAAAATGTGTTTATTTTTATGCATGCATATATTATCCTAAAATGGATATGTAAAATGTAGTAATTATTGTTCGTGATAAACATGAGTTAGAGAGTATTCATCCACTCGTCTTTCTGATTCATGCATACTTATCAGGTATCTCCCAGAAAGTTGCTCCAGAAAAATATGACTACTATCATTACTACTAAGGTGCCTGACTCCTAGGGATCAGACAAAAGTACTCCAACATTCTCACATTTGAAAGGAATTTATATTTACAGCAATGGAATTCTCAAGACTGCCTAAATTCAAAAAATGTCTTAAATTTGTAAATATGGACACATCTGTTATTCTTTGCCCATTTGTATCAGAAATGAATTCATTTGATAAAGGATAGGTAAATGGCTACAAGCCAGGTACACATGTCTACCAGAACATAACCAGCTAGCTGTGAAAATATAAGCCCTTGCTGGGAAGAAAACATCTTTTCTCAGTCTTTCTCAACCTACTTTACATTACATACATGACTGCACCATGCTGCACAACCACAAATAACACCTTCTCCTCCACCTTGCCAAATAACTTGTTTCCATAAATCATATCTCATTATAGCTAAATAAAGCAACTCTAACCCCAAATTAACTCAGAATAAAAGAACCCTCTGAAGGCAAAGGAAAAAACTAATCTAATAACACATATTTATGTCCATTGAGCTACAAAGATCTTCTCTACCATCTGACGTCTTTAAAATACTTGGCCCAAAGTACATTCTGTATTGTTCCTATTTCAGCAGAATTCTAGAATGCAAACTTGTTTTCAATGAGAAAAAGTTCCAGTGCTACAAGATTTTGGTCATAATGCAGACCAAATCCTTATAATAATGTTTAAAGTTATCCATTAAAAGTTGTATTTTCATAATAGCAAAGAAAACAAGAAATACAGTCCATGTATCACCAAAAAAATGCAATTCAACAATTTCCCATGACTAGTAGCTTGAGCACACAAGCAAACCATTTCCAAGTTAAAAGGGAAAATGTACATTTTTAAAAGCAAAGGAGCTCATTTGGAATTATTTATAATAGACACTTAATGGCTGTTAGATTTAAAATGTCCAAAATTTATGAAGTTGTGATCTGACATCATGTTGTTTATTATTTCTCTTCTCAATAGAGCAGGTTGAATTAAAGAGTACAGATCAGCTACTAAAAATGATTTCATGAGCAGATAGCAGTAAAGAAACAGTAGAAAGGCAGCAAACCATCTTGCTAGGGAATTGTTCTTGGATCTTAGCAAATCATTCTTTGCATGTCTGCTTTATCTGCTGCTCCACAAATACCTTGAGCAGCTTTAGCATCTTGCTCCTCAAAATGTGGTCCCTCTATAAGCAGCCTGGGTATCCCTGGGGCTTGTTAGAAATGCAGAATCTCAGGCCTCACTCCAGACCTACTGAGTTGGAATCTGTACTTTAACAAGAAGCTTAGGTGATCTAAAGGCACAAAAAAATTTTAGAAGCACTGTTTCAGAGTATAACCAAAAAATTGGAGACCATTGTTTTTCTTAATTCAGAGCAATGATACATCACGATGATTATTCAGACAAAACACATTTTCAGTAGGTAGTAGAGAAATCCTAGAGAGGCACAACATTTTTTTTTTTAATGCATGGGGTGAAGAAGTCACTGTCCTTATGTCTTATCAGTAATAGCACCAGCATCTCTGTATAGGAGGAGGGATTAGAGAGTTTATCTGAAAGAATGTATTTTCTATAAAATTTAGAAAAATCTAATCTCCATACAAAGAATGAAGAAGTGGACCAACGTAGACACCTGGGATATTCTGCCTTGTAAATACTAAACAAATATTTTTGACACTCTAGAAATTTGCCTTTCATATTTTTTACTGGATAGAAAACGAGTATCTCAGACGAAGGAAACTAATATCAGTGATTTCAGTTGGATTCTATATTTATGAAAATTCCCATCTGCAAATTTAAATCACAACACTAAAGACGACAAAAAGAACCTTCATAAAAGTGTTTACAGAGAAACATGTGACCTGTGACTTTGACTTCACTATTGTATGCATTTTATTAAATTCATATAGCCTTTGTATGTCATCATTGTTTAAGGCTGGCTTACAACCATCTCAATGCATGCTTTTGAAACCATCTCTTCACTGAGGCCCATAAATAGCAGCCACACATTAGTAATATTAAGTGTTACCATGAACGGCTAGAACTGAACATTTTATAAACAAACTGAAACAGAGTTCCAAATATCATTCCCCTTGAATAATGTCATTTAGGGTGGTTTACATGTGTTCTATCTGTGAGTTCTAAAATACCTACTGAAGTTTTAAATTCATTAAAACCAATTTAATAGTGATTGGCTGTTAATGTCTTTTTTAAGTAAAATCGTAACATTGCAAAGCATACATAACATTTGATCATAATGACTGTAGCAAAAGGTAATTCAATCAATTGTAATGAATCAAGAAAACTGAAAGAAATAATGTATAACTTTTTGAAAACTTGGTTTTACATAAAATATAGAAAGAATAGACAATAAAATCACTGAGTTAGGGCAGCTGTCAGATCTCTACCTCATGTGAGATTAAAGGTATCTATATAGAAATCAATAAAATGGCTCAGCATCCTTCTAAGTGGAAACATGTTCCAGCAGTGTCACATATTGGTTTACATAATGAGCTATAATTAGATAGATAGATAGATAGATAGATAGATAGATAGATACATACATACATACATACATACATACATACATACATACATACATACGTAAGTATGGATTTCAGCATGTTTCTTGGTCTTTCTAAAATAATTGTGAAAATGATTCCCTTTCCTAGTAATGGCAGTCCATGGAAAGTACTCCTGAAAGTAATTCTAGTTTTATGATGCTCAGATTTGGCCATACTACTTGGGATTTAGATGATGCTGAATGATTATTGCAGGAGATATGACTGCACATGCAGGCACATGTGTATATGGATGTCTGGAGGCTCATTCTTAGATTGTATTTTTAGAAATGGTGTTGAGATTTTATTTGGCATGTTGCTTAAAATATTTTGCAAGATTCTTTTCTAAGTTACCTCTTAATCATCTTAACTGAAGCAAAATCATTTTTCCCTTTCTGAAGAAATTTGATTTTTAAAATAGCAAGAGCCACTCAGATCCAAATCTGGTGAATTATATATGTAATCATGAGAGATATTTTTGAACAAAATTAGACTATTTAAAAAACCATAATTACAAAGATACTCATTTTCTGACAATGCTTACAAACCAATTTCAAGGCCATTCTCAATTTCAAAAATTTATACCAATATTGGAATAAACATAGTATGACTTATTATGCATATGAAGACATGATGTATACCTTGCACCTTATATTACAGAAAACAATTGATAGTAAATATAGTAATCAGCTTATATGAATATTTCCCTCTAAACCAAGTTTGTTCATTTTGAAAATGGTTAAATTCATATCTCTAGTTTCTACCAAAGTTCCTAGCAAATAGTTGGTACTAAATAAATGTGGACTGAATAGGTGGACAACTGAAAAAATAAATAATTTTGCAGAATCCACATAATACAGTGGACTATATTATGTATGAATGTAACCAAAATTCTATACTATTCTGACCTAAAGATAACCTTTATCCATATGATTTCTATAAGAAATCCTGTATTTGTCAAATAGCTGAAATATAATGAATAACAAAAACTTCTCATCTAGAAATTATTCTAGCCAAATATTCTAAAAGATGAAAAATAAAAACACATTCAAATATTTATCCAGTCTCTCAGATAAACTGTGATGTCAAAATAAAAATAGATTATCTGACCAGAAAACTCAAATCTTCACATGGTTGTGAAGACAAATATACTTCACCCCCACCAAATACACACATAACACATTCTGCATTCTTGTACAATGCTATCATTTTTCAGAGTACTGTTGAATTCTCAAGAACTGCAACTAATAAGATATTTTAAACTATACATTAACTTAAATTTTTCTGATACTTAATAGGTATAAAAACACAATACCTAATTTATATGCAGAAACATATATTGAGTAATATGTATACAATAGACATATAATTTATATACAGAGGATTTATATAGTTTAGACCATCTATTTGTCTTACAATATGTTGATAGTTTATACTATATATAAATATGAAGTAAACAATCAAATCATATGAAGAGAGTTAAGAAGGAAATAAAGTAGAAAGAAAATCTCCCCAGAACAAACTGAAATTTAAATTCCTAAGAATGTG
Source organism: Homo sapiens (assembly GCF_000001405.40). Lineage (NCBI taxonomy): Eukaryota > Metazoa > Chordata > Mammalia > Primates > Hominidae > Homo > Homo sapiens. Next base: position 104,262,415 of record NC_000006.12, read on the forward strand.
TTATCCCTAAATCAGTAGATTTTGCTCCTATTCGAAATGTTGCAATTGAGGAAAACATATCAGTTATCTAATAAAAAGTTTAAAATATGCAAAACTTTAGGGCCCAAAATCTCTAGTCAAATCTTCATGTCTAATCCCATCTTTTATTTGCACACTGCATGGAGAGGACTGCCTGTCACACCTGAGTGGCTTTAACAGTATCTACATACCACATGTCAATAAATGTCTCATCTCCAAGGGTAAAAATACCAAATTTGATTCATTCTACCCCGACAAATTGCTTTAAGAAAAGATGCATGAAAGCTTCTATTTTATAAGTAGTCTAATAGACTTTATATATATATATATATATATACATATATATATGAAAAGATTCAACGAATATAGATACTACATGACTCTATATTTTGAAAGGAAGGTGCTAATAGCAATATAACGAAATTTTCTCAAGGAGTTTCTGTTCACTTAAAGCAAAAGGCCTATTCTGGTAGAAATAATATGAATATTAAAGGGAATTTTAAAATGGCTGTAATTCATGATTACAAAAAGCCCAAAGACTCCCTTTAACAGAATATAAGACTCTAGAATCTTGAAGCAAGAGAATAGAATCATAGATACAGTGAAACTATATGCTCCTTCCAAGGAAGTGTCACATAAGGGCAGTGGAAAAAAATCTGAGTTCAGTTACACCAAGATAAAAAAGAGCTTCACCACCTAAAGACGTCCTTCTTCCAAGACCACAAATTCCACAGGTAGATAAAAGAACAGCAGAAATCTTGAGAAAGGGATTTCTCTAATCTTTCCTCAGAGGCTTTGGTGAGAAGGAACTGACTTACAAGCCCTCAACCTGAAAAAATTGGATGACAATCCAATTTTAAATCGTTTAAATTGTCATCCATCCATAGAAATCCAAAGTTGAATCAGATAGAACTATCTGATGTGTGTATCGTCTCCAATTTTCTGTGGTAGGGATTGAGTGTTTGAAAAATACACACCAGACAGGCTGAGTACCAAACTGTAATTTAGAAAGAGTCCCAAATATAATGGAGGCAATCCTAAAGATGTTGAGAAAATGTTTACAATTACAGATTGAAGTCCTGCCAAACCACCACAGACAATTTGCTATCATGCTTCAAACACTATTAGTGGTCCCAATGGCATTGAGACATAACAATTACGGGAAGTCCGCCTAGGGTAACATGGCACAGGATGAGGTTCTATTTTTTAAAATCTCTGTAATATACTGTGGTTTCTAAACTTATATATTCCTGATGAGAACCTAAAGGATCCTTTCACTAGCAATATTTTCCAGGTTTAAAAGCAACCATTTCTACCTTTTTTGTCTTAAAAAATCTGGACAGTGACCTGAAGCTTAAAAATACATCCAGAATTCAACTGAGTTTCAGTATCTGGCCCAAGTTATCATCATCTCTTGCCAGTATTATTGAAATAGCCTAGCAGTCTTCAAACATGTTTGCCCACATCCTCCTCTAAACATTTTTAAATCAAGAACTAAAAATTGCATTATGAGTTTAAGTTGTTGAAAATAATAAATTTTATTTTACATAATCCCATTTAATCTAAATGCCATATTGTTTTAACCCCACCATCTTCCACTTAAAAATATATACATGAATAAGCATTTTTTTTAACAAGTGGAAATGTTAAAGTAATTCTTTTTCTAATTAAACTTGTAATATATGTATGTATGTACATATCTATTTGAAATTTAGAGTTGTTCTGTACAGAGTATTAGCCAATAGTCATTAGCCAGTAGCCACGTGTGGCTACTAAGCACTTGAAATGTAACTAGTCCAAATTGAGATGTGCTATAAAGTAAAATGCACACTAGATTTCAGATTTTCACAATATGAAAATATAATATTTTCTATTTTATAAACTATCTCATTAATGTTATATTGATGGCATGACAATGAAATAATATTTTGGTACATTGGATAAAATAAAATTATGTTTTAAAATGAATCTCACCTATTTCTTTTTATTTTCAGCATATATTTAAAATTATATATGTGGTTTCTATATGCAATTCTATTAAAATTACATTTGTATTGGATAGTGCTGGTTCTTCTATTGATCACCTAACAAACTTCTCTGCAATAAAAATGTCTAGAATGTGATACTTTTCAATTTCCTAGGCCCATAAATCCTAAAATTTTAAAATATATTTTGAATTGTTATCTTTTCCATTATTAGTGAAATATAATTGATGAAAATGACATCAAATTTTGGAATACTTTGTAATTACTAAAGGAAAAAATAAGAAACATACCATCTTATTGGACTGGCACACTCTAATAAGATAGATGGGGACTTTTACCTCCAATTAGTTGACCTATTCATAGATGAAAACTTATTCATTGTATACATTTTAACAGCAATTCATTTTACACTTATTTTCCTGTATAGATATAAGTACTGAGACACTTCACATAAATAAGTTAGAATAGACTTTTTAATATTACAAATTAATTGAACTCTATCCAAGTTTTATAACAAAAATCCATAGTAGTCTCTCATAAAAATTATTTTGATAATCAACTACTAACTTAAATAATTTTGTCAAGTAGAAAATACTATTAGTCTTTACCTTTATTTGTCTAGTCATTTAAAGTTATTCAATTTTTAAATTTATGAAATATATACCAAAAAAAATTACTGATATTTACTAAACTGCTATTCAGTATACCTACTACTCCTTCACTTACAGACAACTATTTCACAAGATACAATTAGAAACAACAAGGAAAAATCAAAATATAATTATTTTCTAAATGTTTTACAAAACAAATTATTAAATAAAATATGTCTTATCACAGGCTTTGAATGTATTTTTGCTTAAAGCTATAGAGCTGCAGACTTTCCTAATCCAATTTAAGAAAAATGTGAATGGAAATGGGAAAATCAGTTATTATCAAACCAGCTGTACACAATTAGAATAGTCTAACTTGATTTTTTTCCACTTAAATAATTGTTTTAATAAAGTTTCTTGTGGAAACAATCTTCAAAAATCTAAATTCTCAGATAGATATGTAGGTGAACAGATAAATAAGTGAATGAATAAAACAGACAGCCTTGTTGTAAATCTGTGACATGATAAAACCTCAGTTTGTTTTGCTCTCAAAGGTATCTCCCACAGGAATGATAGTTTTTCTAGTGACAGAAGGTAGGTGAAAGAAGCGAGAATGTCAAATAAAAATATTTGAAATTGTCCCTTCATTTTTCACTCGAAGTTTTTACACCCTGGGAAAATGCATCACAGTAAAATCTAGAATAAAAGAGAAATAAGGCTTTCTTTTGAAAGCGAAAGATGATGTCAAGTGGAAGATGGGAAGAGTGAGGTACAATGCCTTGACCCCAGATTCATTACCAGGCAGCTAAATGTTTGACAGTTAGTAGATCTGGACATTTATTATTTTAAAGACTTATGTCCCTGCACATATTTCAAGTAGCCTTGGAATCAAATACACCAGTCTCAACACCACTCGATCATCCAACTAATTGTTACCCTGTTTCAATCCCTGATTCCTACAGCCTAATCTCAGAATAGTAGAGTGATTCTTTCATTACAAATCAGAATATGACACTCTTCTGCCTAAACCTTCCAGGAGTTTCCCAATCTCACCCACAGTAAAAGCCAAGTATCCCTACAGTAGCCTAGAAGGCTCTAAACAGTTTGCCCTCCAACCCCATTATCCCTTTGACATCCTATTCCCACCAGACACCCTTGGCTGACTTTGCCCAACCACACTGGCATCTTCACTAGCCCTCAAAACCTCTCATCAGGCTCTCATCTCAAAAAGATGTGTTCTTCAGCTAAAGTGCTCCTCCCCTTGACCTCCATGACCTACTACCTCACTTCTTTAGGTCTTTATTCAGATAACTTCTCACGAAAGCCTTCCTTGACATTGTTTACCTGTCCTATCCCCGCTCCCTTCTTCATTTTTTTCCAAAGTACTTATTATTTGACTATATATTTTCTGTCTTATCTGCTTTGTCATCTTCCATAGAACATAAGCTCATAAAAATGAGGCTTTTGTCTGTTCCATTGTCTGCCATATCCCTAGAACAATATACAGCATATACGAGACATTCAATAAATATTTGTCAAGTGAAAAAAATTTATGAACACTTTTATAAGTGAGACAAATTTCTATACACATTAGAGAACAGGGTTGTTTAACTTGTTTAGATTTATTTTATATATATGTGTGAAATTTGAGGATTAGGCAGTTCTATGGAATGGACATTAACGTTTATGCTGAATTCATCTGATATTGTATATGTGATCCAAGTGTGTGGATACTACTTGGAAAGTCACATTATTTGAATATATTCATTTGGTACTGAGCCTAGCAGTGTGCGCATTCTTTTCAAATATTTTTACTAAAATTGATTTTTCTTTGACTTTAAAACAGTTTCCTTAGATTTATAAAATACGATTAATGGAAACATTAACTTTATCCATAAGAACATATTAATTGATTCTTTTTCATATATTTCATCACAGGTCTGAGAGAAAAACATACGGCTGCTGCTCCTAAAATAACTGTTCAACATCAAAATTCTGAAGAGAATGTAGCTAGAGTGTTAATCAATAGTAAAAATATACGGTTGACAGCACATTGGAATTGGGCACCCTGAACTGCAGCCAATCATGGATGTTATCAATTTTGTTCTTAAAAGCATGTAAGGCAAGTTTGCCAACTGTCACTGCCAGACTATAACTTTCCCTCTTGTCTTTTGAGTCATTTAAAAATCCTGTTGGACTTCATTTTATTAACAGGTTAACAAATCTATTACAGTCTACTAAGGTACTACTGACTAACTTTGAAAAATTATCTACTTTATCTCATGTCAGTTGTGTAACACTTCTTTCCAAATATCAAACACTTAAAATGTTATCAGTCTTGAAGCAATATTGACACGAGCCCCTTTCATGTTGAAAGTTAAGGTTTTATTTCTCTAATTTTCCCATAGGGAATAACTCACTCTTAATTAATACAGAGTTCACAATGGATTTACAAATGAATTATGATTCAGAATTGAAGTTCTAATAAGGTCTTCATGAAATAGTGCAGAAAATCATGGAATTATTTTCTCCTTTTTGACTACATTCAAATTATGAAAGAGGTTCGATAAAAGTTGTTAAGCATTTTGTTCTTCAAAAAGGTAACAAAGAATAAATATGCTTTTTAAATACTACCAGCTTTTTAAAGGCAGTTTTAAAAAATGTAATTAATGCAAAAAATTCTCACCTGAAAATTTTAAGCAGTCTTTTCAAATGAGATTCTTGCCATTTTTTATTTTGAAAAGGTCTCTGAAGTCTTAGCTTTTTTCAAAGCAGTTTCATGGCAAACCATATCACATGTTATCAATCTGAACTTAGATATTTGTTTTAAAACATTAGTGTTTCAAAGTAGAATATAATTTAGTATTGTTTCACAGTAGAATAAACTATAATACATATTCTATATGAACAAAAGTACAATATTTTTCTGAAACATTGTTTTAAGATTATTATAATACATGTTTAAAGACAAATGTAATGAATTTTCAAAGGATACACTATCACAAATATTTTTCTCTAATTACAGTATTCAATAATCAATTTATACTTCATGTAGACATAAGACTTGGATAATGTATATAAAATAATTAAAAATATCTTAAACATATTAACTATTGTAGATTTTGAAACTAAAGATTAAGTCATATATAATTATATTAATTTTGCTGGATACATGTTATTACATCAATTTTTAAATAAAAATCTTAAAAATTATAACTTTGAATTAAATACTGAAAAAATTTAAGCTGCTCAAGCATCAAGAGTCCACACCATGTACATTCAACTGAAGGAGAAAAACATGAAGATGATATAAAGCATCATAACCTTATTCACACACACTTTAAAGCAAAAATGAGTGAGTTGTAGGCAAGGAATAAAAGATTTTGGATGGAAAATAGGGCTCAATTTTTGTTGTTGCAAAGACTGCTGAACCTGGTTTATGATTATGTATCTGTGATATCTAGTATGCTGATGGGAACTAAACACTTTAATTACCATTTTTATCTGCATGACAGCAAACATTCAATTATCTGTAAACTTCTTAATGACTAATTGAATTATATATAAATTATCTTCAGTGTTTAGTGGCTCCAGGATGTAGAGATGGCTTTAATTGAAAATGGCCAACTTTTCTTGGCAGTCAATTCAGTGAGACAAAACAGAAAACTATCTTAATCAATGCCTTCTTACTCATCTATCTCTCCTAGTAGCCTTTCAACAAGCAACTACGATGAGTGTTAATCAATTCCCTAAATATGACTGATCTCCAGAGCATTATGACAAATAGCCAACTTAACTTTTGAACAATTCTGCTGGCACTCTTTCTGCAGTCTGGGAAGTAGACACACAAAAGCAAACTTACTTGGTGTGTATCCCAATTCAAACACCTTTTCTTAGAGCTAAAAAGGATCTTGGAGATACTTCTGTGTTATACCCACCTTTTGAAGAAGGCTGAATAAAGGATGTATTTTCTGAAGCTAAAAATATATCCAGAATGTATTATTAATAAAACATATTTGTAATAATGCAAGTATCAGATAAAGCATTCTGTAAAAAATATAATACATATAAGAGTCAGGAAAAAAAGGAAAAGAATGGATCTGTTTTTTCTTCTCTTGAAACCTGCTTTCTACGAAGCCCCTCACCCAGCAGAACAACAGAGTAAGGGGAATAAAACCAGCCACCAAGTGTAGCTGGGTGTTAGCCAAGGATACTCTCTACATTTGATGACTGTAAAAATCAGTGGTTGAGGCTTTCTTGGCAAATTTTAGGAAGGAGGTATATTATGAAGTATAAAATGTTAATTTGTTAGAGTTCTTCAAATGCTCTTTAAAATAACTACGGTGTATTCCCCGTGGTCATTCGTTGCTTATAAAACTAGTTCCCCTACAGGAAAACTCTTTTCATGCATAACATCATGACACATGGTCCTTTGAAAGCTATAAAGCCAAGCAATTTTTCTTCTCAAGTTAAATAATACCTTGCTGCTGAATTCTGGCATCCTAAAGGCAAATGGAGCAAATGGAGCTCCACAAATGGAGCAGCGTGGCGTAAGTGAGAAAGGAGAAGAAGAGGTATTGTTGGTCACAATGTGAGAAACAACCTCAGATCAGCATTTCTTTAACTGAATTTGATGGCCAAACATCATGTATTTTTATAATCTGAGTTCACATTAAATTGCTTGACTTCATGGTTTTTTTCTTCCTCTAAGGAATCTAAAATTCATTTTTAAAAGCACTTTTAATGCTATTAAACTCTGAAAGTAAACTACCCATTTTTATTGTAATTCTCCATTGATGTTTTTTATTTTGCAGATGTTATAGATGAGTTTATCTTCCATTGGAAAGTGTTTATCTCATTCTTTCATTAGATATCCTCACAAAAATAGAATATTTTTTAGATATCATATGCATAACACTGCAAAAGGGAAACTATTATAACTCATTTGCTCTCTTAAACTCAACAGATGACCCTGGTTAGTTTATCACTGAAAACAATCACCTTGCCTAAATAGCCCCAACTTCCTTTCCCTTTACCTCCATTTTTCTATCTTTAGTTAGACTTTGTTTTCCTTGCTGGATGATACTTTACATTTCTAAGTGGTGTGCTTCCCAATTTCCTTTCCTCATCTCCTGTCATGTTTGACTTTTTTTTATTATTATACTTTAAGTTTTAGGGTACATGTGCACAATGTGCAGGTTAGTTACATATGTATACATGTGCCATGTTGGTGTGCTGCACCCTCAAAGAGCCAACATTCAAGTTTAGGCTTGCTTTCAGTTAGAAATGATTCACTTTCCCATGGCTATCAGAACTGGGCCACTGTAGAAGTAAAAACACACTCAATTTAATGTAAGAAACTGAATCAAATGCCTTTTTGAGGCACTCCAAATGAAGATGAAAGACTTTACAGTTTAGAGAAAAGAAAATCCAAGAGAAAACAGCAACAGGAGCAAATTAGGTAGGAAGTCCTGCATCACAGAAACAAGCCCATACTTTTTCCTCTCTAGCCACTCGGTAAAGACCATTAAACCAAGCCAGCAAGTCATCCACTGACTATCCAGCAGAAGATGCTGCACCTCTGTGCTCCCTTTTGGGGGCATGTTTGCTCCACATGCCCCCAAAACAGCCAGCAGCTATATGAAGCACACTATGTGGACAACCCCAGTTCAGTTTGCCATAACTAATGGAAAGCTCTATGGTTGGTGAATGGGGCCTTGGACACCTAGAGTGGTGGTGGTAGGATGAAGGTATAGCCCCTGTACCTGTCAGAGAGAAGACCAGACAGAATCATTTGAAATCTCTTAGTAAAGATTTCTCCCAGCCTCTCCATTCTCCCCAAGGTATAAGGAAGATAAGTCTCTATCTTTTACTCCCTCCCAGCCTCTCCATTCTCCCCAAGTTATAAGGAAGATAAGTCTCTATCTTTTACTCCCTCCCATTTCAATAGTGAATCTTTCAATGTGCTCTTATTGGCTGCTTCTTCCTCTTCAAGACTTGGCTCCATTAACTTCCTGCCCCACCACTTCATACTTTCTCTTTCACCCCAAGGGCCATTTTCCTTCTCCCAGCCCACACCAAAGTGCAGAAATACATTCAAAGGAATTGCTGACTTAATTGCAAAGCAATAATTCCCTTCTCTGAGGCCTATTTGCCAGGCTAATATTTTCCCTCTGGGAACTGAGTTAGGATGGCCTGAGATAAGGAAAGAGAAAAGGCAGAATAGTAACTTTCAAACTCAGAAGGAATTCAAAGTTTAAGACAGAAGAAAAATCTTTCCTGAACAGGACCAAGGTGCAGAGCAGAAAGGACTATGAAAATGAGCTGTTCAGGAGCATAAAACCCTTCTTCCTACCTCATCTGTGGATAATCAATTACTCAATACTTCTGGAGACCTGTAAGGCCACCTCCATCACTAGCTGCATCCCACAAACTTGATGTTGTATGCTTGTTATCATTCTGTTCCAACAGATTCCAATTTCTCTTGTGATTTTTTCTTGGACCAAACGATCACTTAGATGTCTTTCATTTAATTGCTGTATGTTCTTGGCACAGGGTTTGGTGGGGGTGTTTCTGGTTATCTCACTATTATTGACTCTTTAATTTCATTGTTGTCAAGAACAGTATAATTTCAATATGTTTAAAGTTATTGAGACACGTTCTATTGCCAGATTATTATCTATTCTGGTATAGTACTATGTGCACTTTAAAAGGAAGTGTTTTGTTGTCTGGGGCTGTATCGACATATGAATATCAATTAAGTCAAAGAGATTGATAGTGTTGTTCAGATTGTCTATGGCTTTGATGGTCTTTTGTTTCTTGTCTAATTGTTCACTCAGTTCTTGAGAGGGGCTATTAAAATATACAAATATGATTGTATACTTGGCTGTTTCTCCATTTAATTCTGTCAACTTTAGCCTCCTATCTTTTGAATCTTTGTTATTGGGCCCATACACCTTCATGAATGTTATGACTTCCTGAAGAATTGAACCTTTTATCATTATGAACAATCTCTCTTAATACTATTTTGTTTTTAAATCTATTTTATCTAATGTTAATATGGCAAAGTCAGCCTTCCTATGTTTACTACATATATAGATATCTTTTTTTCATCCAACCTGTGTATTTACATTTAATATGCATCACTTTTATACAAAATACATTTTGTTTGTTTGTCTGAATACATTCTAACAATATCAACTTCGATTTGGAGTGTTTAGTCCATTAACATTTAATGTAATGTAATGTTGATATGATTAAGTATGAATTTACCATTTTAATTTTTGTCTTCTACATGACTGTCCTCTATTCCTCTTTTCCTACCTTTTTAGGGGTGGTATTTAAATGTATTTGGAATTTTATTTCAATTTTTTGTTGATATTTTAGCTACACTTCTTTGCAATCTTTTCAACTGTTGACTGAAGGGATTGCAATGTATATCTCTGACTCTTCACAGACAGTAGAGTTAATACTACTAGTTCACATAAAACATAGAAATCTAGCACAGTTACAGTTTCATATTCTCTCATCCTTTGTTATAATGGTTGTATCTCTATGATACCTACATACATTATAATCCCCTCAATAGGAAGTTATATTTTGTGCTTTAAATGCTTACATAGTTTTTAAAGGTATGAGGTAAAAAGCAAAACAAAAATTTTCATTTGCTTTTATACGGATGTTAACCATTTCTGATGCTGTTCATTCTTTCCTGAGAACCTAAATTTCTACCATTTTTCTTTATTCTAAAGAACATGACTAATCAATAGGCATAAAGTTTCAGTTAAGCAAGATGAATGAGCTCTAGAGATGTATCGAACAACAATGTATCATATACTTTAAAAAACTGTTAAGAAATAGATCTTGTATTGTGTTCTTTATCACAATAAAATAAAATTCAAACAAAAGATATTTAAAAGTAAAGAATGTCCTTTAGCATTTCTTATAATGCTGGTCTGGTGGCAACAAATTGTCTTAGTTTATTTTATCTGAAGATGTCTTTATTTCATCTTTATTTTTGAAGGATATCTTCAGTGAAATAGACTTCTAAGTCGACAGGTTTTGTGATTTTGTTTTATTTTTATTACTTTAAAGATGTTTTATTCTTTCTGGACTTCATAGTTTCTTATAAGAAGGCAGCTATTAGATTCTGGTTTCCCTATATGTAATATGTCAGTTTGCTCTTTCAAGATTTGTTCTTTATCTTTGGCTTTCAACAGTTTGACTGTAATATGTTTCTAAACAGGCTTATTTGTGTTCATTCTGCTTGGTGTTAGTTTAACATCTTGTATTTACAGACTTTCTGTCTTTCATGTATCTTGGGGAAATTTTTGGTATTTCCTAAAATATTTTTTTGCCCCTGTTTCTCTTTTCTCTTTCTAGGTTTCCAGTTCTGCATATGCTGGACTGCTCAATGTTGTCTCACAGCTCACCAACATTCTGCTCATTTTTTCAATTTTCTCTCCATTCTTCACCTTAGATAATTTTATTGATCTATCTTTACTTATTCTTTCCTCTGTCATTTTCATTCAGCTGTTAAATCTATCCTGCTAATATTTTTATTTTAGAAATTACATTATTTGATGCTACAATTTACATCTAATTTTCTTCCTGTATCTATTACTCTGCTCAAATTTTCTTCATTGAAAACATGCTTTCTTTTACTTCATAGAGGATAAGTATTTCCGTGACTTTTAAATCTTTGTCTATTATTTCTAACATCTTATTGATCCTTGAGTTAGACTTAGTAGAGTTTATATTCTCTTGAGAATGAGTTCCATTTTGTTCGTTTTGTATGCTAAGTACTTTTAGGTTTCATCTTTAATGTCATGTATGTTAATTTGTGAAGATTCTGAATTCTGCTATTATTCTCCATTAGTATTGTTTCCTTTGTTCAGGCAGGTAATATTTCCAGCTAGACTTGTACTACAACCCCTATTCCTTGGGCAACAGCTCCAGTCTCACTTCAGTCTAATTTTTATCTAAGCTGTTCCAAGTGTAGTCTGCACATACAGGCATACCTCAAGATACTGCAAGTTCGGATCCAGACCACCGTGATAAAGTGAATATCACAAGACAGTGAGTCACATGAATTTTTTGGTTCCCAGCACGTATAAAAGCTATGTTTACACTATACTGTAGTCTATTAAGTGTGCAATAGCATTATGTCTTAAAAAATGTACATACCTTAATTTTAAAATGCTTTATTGGTAAATATTGCTAACAATAATCTGAGCCTTCAGTGAGCTGTAATCTTTTTGCTGGTGGGGGATTTTCCCTTGATGTTGATCTCTGCTGACTTATCAGGGTGGTGGTTGCTGAAGGTTGGAGTGACTGAGAATTTCTTAAAACAGGACAACAATGAAGTCTGTCACATACATTGACTCCTCTTTTCACACACACGAAAAATTTCTGCAGCATATAATGCTATTTGATAGCATTTTACCCACAGTACAACTTCTTTCAGTCTTGGAATCAATCATCTCAAATCCTGATGATTCATCAGCTAAGTTTATAGAAAATTCTAAACCCTTTTTCATTTTAACAATGTGCACAGCATCTTCACCAGGAATAGATTGCATCTCAAAGCACATCCTTTGCTCACCTGTAAGAAGCAACTCCTCATCTATTAAAGTTTCATCATAAGATTGCAATTCACTCCCTTCTTTAGGCTCTACTTCTACTTCTAGTTCTAGTTATTTTGCTATTTCTGCCACATCTGCAGGTACTTCCTCCACAGAAGTCTTGGACCCCCCAAAGTCACCCCTGATGACTGACAGTTGGAATCAGCTTCTTCCAAACTCCAGTTAATGTTGATAGTTTTACCTCCTCCCTTGAATCATAATTGTTCTTAGTGGCATCTAGAATAATGAATCCTTTCTGAAAGGTTTTCAACTAACTTTTCCCAGATCAGAGTAATCACTATCTATGGCAGCTATAGCCATACACAATTTATTTCCTTTTTTTTTTTTTTTTTTTTTGAGACGGAGTCTCGCTCTGTGGCCCAGGCTGGAGTACAGTGGTACAATCTCAGCTCACTGCAAGCTCTGCCTCCCAGGCTCATGCCATTCCCCTGCCTCAGCCTCCTTAGTAGCTGGGACTACAGGCGCCTGCCACCGTGCCCAGCTAATTTTTTGTATTTTTAGTAGTGACAGGGTTTCACCATGGTCTCGATCTCCTGACCTCGTGATCTGCCTGCCTCGGCCTCCCAAAGTGCTGGGATTACAGGCTTGAGCCACCACGCCCGGCCTATTTCTTTTTTAAATTGATTAAGCACATTTATTCAATCTACTGTGTATTCTCATACATTTAATTTTTATCTTAAAACATTTACAAAGGTCAATTTACTAATATAGTATAAAATGTACATTAGTTTCAATCTACATCTTAAAAATATGATAAAATATGAAAAAGTACTGTTTCATATTTTATCATCATATGTATAAAATATTCAATACTCATCTTGTTTTCCAGATTAGAAAAATAAGCTTCCACAAAGGAATAAGACCCTGTGTCTAAGGTAAGGTTTGTTTTACTTCATACCTTAAAGGTTTATACATTTGAAAGTATTATTGGTGTGATTTATTTTATTTTATTTATTTTCTTTTTTTGAGACAGTTTTGCTCTTGTTGCCCAGGCTGGAGCGCAATGGCGTGATCTTGGCTCACCGCAACCTCCGCCTCCCGGGCCCAAGCAATTCTCTTGCCTCAGCCTCCCGAGTAGCTGGGATTACAGGCATGCACCACCATGCCTTGCTAATTTTGTATAAAATGTTTCATTTTTAATATGCATACATCAACATTAATTGGGATATAGTGAGGAAGAAAAAATTGAGGTTTAAAATTTCTCATTAGATATAAAAATATCTAGCCCTAAGTAAAATTTTAAGATATTTTTGTTTTGACAAAGACATCATATATTTTACTTGCTTGTTACTTAGTTCAACTAGTGAGTAATGGAGATAAAGGAGAACTACAAACAACTGCACACAGAAATCAGAAAGGACACAAACAAATGGAAAAATATTCCATGCTCATGGATAGGAAGAATCAATATTATGAAAATGGCCATACTGCCCAAAGTAATTTATAGATTCAATGCTATTCCCATTAAAACCATTGACATTATTCACAGAATTGGAAAAAGCTATGATAAATTCATATGGAACAAAAAAGGGCCCAAATAGCCAAGACAATCCTAAGCAAAAAGAACAAAGCTGGAGGCATCAGGCTACCTAACTTCAAACTATACTACAAGGCTATAGTAACTAAAACAGCATGGTACTGGTACAAAAACAGACACATAGCCCAATAGAACAGAAAAGAGAACTCAAATAAAATCACACACCACACACACATCTGATCTTTGACAAACCTGGCAAAAACAAGCAATAAGAAAGGATTCCCTATTTAATAAATGGTGCTGGGAGAACTGGCTAGCCATATGCAAAAAATTGAAATTGGATCCCTTCCTTATACCTTATACAAAAATTAACTCAAGATGGATTAAAGACTTAAATATGAAACCCAAAACAATAAAAACCCTAGAAGAAAATCTTGTCAATACCATTCAGGGCATAGGCACAGGCAAAGATTTAATGACAAAAACACCAAAAGTAATTGCAACAAAAGAAAAAATTGATAAATGGGATTTAGTTAAACTAAAGAGTTTCTGCACAACAAAAGAAACTATCATCAGAGTAAACAGACAACCTACAGGATGGGAGAAAAATTTTGCAATCTATCCATCTGACAATGGCCTAACATCCAGAGTCTTCAAGGAACTTAAATTTACAAGAAAAATAACCCCATTAAAAAGTGTGCAAAGTATATAAACAGTACACTTCTCAAAAGAAGACATACATGCAGCCAACAAACATATGAAAAAAAAACTCAACATCACTGATCATTAAAGAAATGCAAATCAAAAACACAGTAAGATACCATCTCACACCAGTCAGAATGGCAATTATTAAAAAATCAAGAAACAACAGATGCTGTTGAGGTTGCAAAGAAAAAGTAATGCTTTTACACCATTGGTGGGAATGTAAATTAGTTCAACCATTGTGGAAAACAGCGTGGCAGTTCCCCAAATATCTAGAAGCAGAAATACCATTTAACCCAGCAATCCCATTACTGGGTATATACCACAAGGAATATAAACCATTCTATTATAAAAGATACATGCACACATATGTTCATTGTAGCACTATTCACAATAGCAAATACAAGGAATCAACCCAAATGCCCGTCAATGATAGATTAAATAAAGAAAATGTGGTACACCATGGAATACTATGCAGCCATAAAAAGGAACAAGATCATGTCCTTCGCAGGGACATGGATGGAGCTGGAAGCTGTTATCCTCAGTAAACTAACACAGGAACAGAAAATCAAACACTGCATGTTTTCACTTATAAGTGGGAGCTGAATGATGAGAACACATGGGCACATCAGGGGGATCAACACACTCTGGGACCTGTTATGGGGTGAAGGTAGGGAGAGCATCAGAAGAATAGCTAATGGATGCTGGGCTTAATACCTAGGTGATGGGTTGATCTATGCAGCAAACCACCCATGGCACACGTTTACCTATATAACAAACCTGCACATCCTGCACATGTACCCTGACACTGAAAAGTTGATTTAAAAAAAAAAAGACAGCTAAAATGTATTTAAGATACATTCAAAATATTTCTATTTTAAAAATTAGCTTAACCTTTGACATTTAAAATATCCCAGAAAATTAAATCTGGAAAGATTAGTTTTCCAATGTGCCAAATGACTAAGGTTTTACTGATTTTAGGACGTCTAATTCATAAATTTATCTACATTACTTAAAATGTATTTCTTAAATAACAAAACTTGAAAGTTAAAATCACTCCTTAATTCATGGGCTTCAGAATGGGTGTTGTGTGAAAACATGCATGAAAACAATCTTCTACTATATCTCCATCAGAGCGCTTGGGTACCTAGGAGCCTTGTCAATGAGCAGTAATATTTTCAGAGGAATTTTTTTTTCTGTGCTATTAGTCTCAACAGTGGCCTTAAAAAATTCAGTAATCTAGGCTATAAACAGATGTGCTATCATCCAGCCTTTGTTGCTCCACGTATAGAGCACAGGCAGAGTAGATTTAGCATAGTTCTGAAGGGCCCTAGGATTGATTGTTAAAATGGTAACGGAGCACTGGCTCCTACTTAAAGTCACCAGCTACATTAGCCTCTGTCAACCTGTCCTTTGAAGCCAGACATTGACTTCTCCTCTCTAGCTATGAAAGTCCTAGATGGCATCTTCTTCTAATAAAAGTCTGCTTTGTCTACATTGAAAATCTGTTGTTTAGCATAGCCACATTCATCAACGATCTTAGCTATATCTTCTGGATAAATTGCTGCAGCTTCTATATCAGCGCTGTTGCTTCACCTTGCACTTTTATATTATGAAGAAGACTTCTTTCCTTAAACCTCATGAATCAACCTCTGCTAACTTCAGTCTTTTCTTCTGCAGCTTCCTCACCTCCCTCAGCCTTCACAGAATTAAAGAGAGTTAGGGCCTTTCTCTGGATTAGATTTGGGCTTAAGGGAATGGTTTGATCTTTTATCCAGACTATTAAAACATCCTCCATATCAGCAGTAAAACTGTTTCACTTTCTTGTCATTCATGTGTTCACTGAAATAGCACTTTCCATTTCCTTCAAGAGCATTTCCTTTGCATTCACAATGTAACTGTTTGGCACAGGTGGCCTAGCTTTTTGGCCTATCTTGGCTTTCAATATGCCTTCCTCACTAAGCTTAGTCATTTGTAGCTGCTGATTTAAAGTAGGAGATGTATGACTCGTCCTTTAACTTGAACATTTAAAGTCCATTATATGGTTATTATTTGGCTTAATTTCAGTATTGTTGTCTCTCAGTGAAGAGGGAGGCCAGAGGAGATGAACAGACATGGGGGGATGGCCAGTCAGTGGAGCAGTCAGAAAACACACAATGTTTACCATCTAATTTGGGTGTAGTTTGTTGAACCTCAAAACTATTACAATAGTGACATCAAAGATCACTGATCACAGATCACCATAACAGATAAAATTTTAAAAATGTGAAACATCGCTAGAGTTACCTAAATGTGACACACAGACAGGAAGTGAGCATATTCTGTTTAAAAAAAAAAAAGAATGGTGCTAATAAACTTGCTCGCACAGGGTTGCCACAAACCTTCAATTGTAAAAATTAAAAAAAAAAAAATGCAATGTCTGTGAAGCCTAATAAAGTACAGCAAGATAAAATGAAGTATGCCTGTGTAACATTCGGGGGAAAGTCAGAGGCGTAAGGAGACCGATACTTTCTCTAGCTCTTTACCTTCTGGAGTTCTCCACACTCTTCGGCATTCATGGATTACCAGCTTCACTTTTGTTGTTCCCAGGGCCAGAAAAACAAGAGATTTTCTACATGTGTTCCTGCTGCCACTGCCCACGGTACTCTGTCAATATAAGTGTATCCTGTGTCACTCAGTGGACACTTAGTGCTAGGCTGAAGGACATGAAGAGGGAACTTAGTGGCAGAGTTGATCATCTCCCCTCCTCCAAAAATAACATGCTCTCCTCACTAAAGTAGTATACTTCGGTTCACTGTGAGTAACCTTCCAGAGTTGCTTTTTGCATTATTTTTAGCTTTCATAGTTGTTTCTTACAGGAAGCTTATCTGGTAGGATCTTACCCTGACATACATGGAAGCAGAAAAATTTGTAAAAATTTGTAAATGTAACTCCCCTTTTTCCCTCACATCTCACATTTAATTCTTCCACAAATCTTGGCGATGATATTTTACAAATATATCCGTCATCTGAACTGACCACCATGACTGCCACACTCTTTGAAACCACTGACCTCTCTCCCTTGGTTTTCTGTCAGAGTCTCCTTATTGGTTTTCCTCCTGGTTTTGTTCTCCTACAGTGTAGAGACACTGTAGCCACAGCAATCTTTCTAAAACACAAGCCAAATTACGTTACTCCAGTATTTGAAATCCTCCAATGACTTCTCATTTTACTTAGAGTAAGAATCCAGATTTATTTCAATCAGCTACAAAGGTGTAAATGATCTGGGCCTCCACAACTTGTTAATTCCCTAATGTCCTCCACTTTTCCTCGCCCTTCTCTGCAGGCTCCCTGTGGTTTCTCAAACACACCACGCTGTGTTTGCTATCCCTCTTTAGAATACTTTTCCCCAGAAACGTTCATGGCTCATTCTTTCATTTCCCTCGGGTCTCTGATCAGACATTATTTTACCATGAAGCCTTCCCTGCCTACCTGTATACAACAGCAATATGTTAGTCACTTTATATTTAATATTAGTGTTCATAATAAACCAAGTACTGCCCTATTCTGCCAATGAGAAAATTGACAGAGAGTGAAAGCAGTTACCTAAGCTCACATTGGCAGAGCCAGAATACATATTTGGGAACCTATAACTCTTCATCCTTGAGAACTACGGCAGAAAGCCACACTTGCAAAATTCTAGAAATGGTCAAGATGAATGAAACATATATTTTTATCATAAATTAATTAAGACCTGGCAATAACCTGACATGGTTAGAACAGCCTAATCTGCTCTGATTTTTTTATTTTTATTTTTTAAGAGATGGAGTCTTGCTCTGTCCCCCAGGCTGGAGTGCAGTGGCACGATCTCGGCTCACTGCAAGCTCCGCCTCCCGGGTTCATGCCATTCTCCTGCCTCAGCCTCCTGAGTAGATGGAACTACAGGCGCCCACCACCACACCCGGCTAATTTTTTGTATTTTTAGTAGAGATGGGATTTCACCGTATTAGCCAGGATGGTCTTGATCTCTTGACCTCGTGATCTGCCTGCCTCAGCCTCCCAAAGTGCTGGGATTACAGGCACAAGCCACCGTGCCCGGCCCTCTGATTTCTTTTCAATGCTTAATTCTGTCTGTGTGGATATCAGCAAATTATCAACACTACTCAAACTCTAGTCTCAAAGATTTTGATTGGCCCAAGCTGAATCTGGAAAGATTCTCCATCTCTCAGTACGTCTGTGATCAGTTCTTTCACTGAGTGCAGACTCTTGGTATTTTCCCCTCTGCATCTCTACCTGCTGTTCTCAAGCTTGGGGAGTTAGACTCACTAGCAGCTCATGCGGCCTTGATAAGGTCAACAAGGCCATCCTTCCCAAAAGGCCCACAATAACTTATCTGCTCTTTCTAATGGCCAAAATAGTCATGTGAAAGAACTAAATTCACCATGTTAGCCAGGATGGTTTACTAAAAATATTTAAAAACAAAAAAATTAGCCGGGCATGGTGGTGGGTGCCTGTAGTCCCAGCTACTTGGGAGGCTGAGGCAGGAGAATGGTGTGAACCCGGGAGGCAGAGCTTGCAGTGAGCGGGAGATTGAGCCATTGCAAAAACACTGGATTCACAGAACTAAGAAGAGCCATCAGAGAAAGCCCCTCCACTGGGGATAGAGGAAAAGTCAGGAAGTTAATGATAAAGGAAACTGGCCTCAGGCAATCATCTAAAACTCAAGCAGGAAAGCAGGCAGTATTAGGGTAGCCTGACAGTAGGTGGCAGTGGAGTCAATCACTGAAATGAAGATACAAGGGAAGTATTATGGTTTTAAGAAGAACTAGTAAGACTGAGATACACGCTGGCCTCTGGAGGTCAGAAATGATGGCAGGGTTTCATGGTAAGGTTTCAAGCACACAGCAATAAAAACAGACTCACAGGTACTTAAACTGCAGTAAAAGGAGGAGACTTCATCACATAAACCAAGGCAGGTAAGAGCCCTTTTACCGTAATCATGGTTGAAGATCTATAACATGAATAGCAAGGTTGACTTCTTACTTAGTTATAGATCCTTAAATTCTTCCTAAGAATAAAACCAATCCCAGTGCCTTGGGAATTCTATTAATAAATGGGAAGATTCAAGCAAAGCAAAGCCCTAATCTTTGAAATGCTATTTCAAAGGCTTTGAATTCCTTTAAACCAGGGGTGAGCAAACATGAAGTACCAGTTAGTAAATATTTTAGGGTTTGTGGGTCATACCATCCCTGTGGCAACTACTCAGCCCTGCCACTGTGCTATGAAAGCACTTGCAGACAATACATAAGCAAAAGGGCATGTCTATGTGCCAATACAATTATTGGAACTGAAATTTATTTATGGATGCTGAAATTTGAATTTCATAAAATTATCCCATGTCATAACATTTTCTCCTTGTGAATTTTTTTCTCCAATCATTTAAAAAGGTAAACATTATTCTTAGCTCACAGGCCATACAAAAACAGGTAGCAGTCCAAACTGGGTGCACAGCCCATAGGTTGCCAACTTCTGCTTTAGACAACAGAGTAACTTATAGTTTCCAGTGCAAAGGATCTCTCTAGCTCCCTCATTCATTTGCAGACCAGAGAGCAATGACAACTCCTCCACGGAACGAGTGGCCAAGCCCTTGATACATAAGGCCCTCCCCAATGTACATATATTTTTGCCTCATATTTTTTATCAACAGGAGATGCAGTGTAAGAGTAATGTCCACATCACTTTTGCATGATTCTTTGACCTTTATTTCAAAATGTCGTACAGTAACTTACAAAATGCCAGTATCGATATTTACACAAACATACAAGTGCACAATCAACAATTGCCTTCTTCCCAGGTTACTAGCTCTTTCCAACTCTCAGGTTTTTCTATGATTTATTAAGTTATTCTTCCCCTCTCATTTCCCCTGGGATAATCTCAATAATGCTATTACAAGCAACTAGAGCTTGTTATGTTCAATAAAATAAGCCAAGCACAGAAAGACAAATGTTGCATGTTCTCACTCACATGTGGGAGCTAAAAATGTGGTTCTCATAAAGACAGTAGACTGGTGATTATTAGAGGCTGGGAAGGGTGGGTGGGGGGATAAAGAGAGGTTGATTAATGAGTATAAATATAGTTTTATAGAAGAAATAAGACAGTGTTGATAAATCAGTAAGGTGACTATAGTTTACAATAATCCATTGCATATTTCAAAATAGTTGGAAGAGAGTAATTGGGATATTCCTAGCATAAAGAAAAGACAAATATTTAAGGTGACAGACATCCCAACTACACTGATATTTATCTTTACAAATTATATGAATGTAGTTAATAATCTTATGTACCCCCAAAATATGTACATCTATTATGTATCCAAAAAAACTGAAGTAAAAAAAAATTAAAAAAAGAAAGAAGCTAGGAACTGAAAGTTAAACACTGCTTCTTCTCACTCATGCAAAAGCTAAAAAATGTTGATCTCATAAAAGTAAAAAGTAGAACACAAGATACTACAGGCTGGGAAGGAGTGATAGAGAATTTTCAAACCATACAAAATTACAACTAGATAGGAGAGATAAGTTCTAGT
The DNA here is from genome assembly GCF_000001405.40 of Homo sapiens. Lineage (NCBI taxonomy): Eukaryota > Metazoa > Chordata > Mammalia > Primates > Hominidae > Homo > Homo sapiens. Next base: position 104,283,393 of record NC_000006.12, read on the forward strand.
GTTCTGTAGCACTATAGAATAACTATAGTTAACAGTAATATATTATACAGTTTCAAATATATAGAAGGATATCGGATGTTCCCAACACAAAGAATGATAAATGTTTGAGATGACGGATATGGTAATTAACCTAATATTATTACTATACATTGTATGTATTGAAACATCACAATGTTCCCCATAGATATGCACAATTATTACATGTAATTTAAAAATAAAATACTTTTAAAGTTAAAAAAGAATGTTATCACAGTATGAATCTATATTATCACAGCAGCAGTCATATTTTCCTGGAAATAAAAGAGAATTTTATTTTACACATGTTCACCTGTTGTTGGTACTTTCGTAAAAAGAGCCCAGCATTCAAAAGAAATTGCCATGGTCTGAAATCAGTTGATGAGCTGATTAAATCTAGTGATCGTGCAAATGGAAAAAAATACTCTTAACAACTGAACCTTTTAAATTTACCCTGTGATTTTTCATAAATGAAAAAGTTTACTTTTTTTCATCGTGTTTTTACATTTTAAAAACTCCTCCTGACTATCAAAGTAACACATGCTTATTGGTATTTATACTTTTAAGCCTCTCCCCCTTCATCCTCAAATCTTTTTGGATACTTCCAAGATACTGCTTTAAAGAAACTTTGGGATGCTGTCTTATGTAGTTATTCTTTGCTACTGTCACACCTCTCACTATAATAAAGTATGAAAAGGTTAAAGCACACATATTATCAGTCCTACCTAGAAATATTCTTTTCCCAACATAAGATAATTGAAATCTCAATTTGGAAAGTGAGAGGTAGAAGGGAAAAAATGCAACTCTCTTTAAATGTAATATAAAAAGAAATAGGGATGGAATCAAGAAATGCCCCAAGATCAAAGAATTTCCTTGTTTGAAAATTTTGTACAGTTCATGCTTAATTATTCATGCTAATGGAGGGCAGGAGACATACAAAAATGAATAAACTAAAACAATTTATAATTCTACTGAAGGTCCAATAGGAGCTTCCAAGTATGAGGGTTGATGTCTTCTCTAATTAATTTAACTGAAGACAAATAATTGATTTAATGATCTCACCACAATAAAATGGGTGGCTATGCACTTATTCAATTTGTAGACAATTGGCAGAAGTCTTCTCCAAAACTATTTATAAAGTTACCCCTTGACTGCATTCTAGGCTCAACAGTAGCTAAAGCTAAATTGGAAATTAAGTGAACAGACACATCTTTAGGTATAGATCAAACAATGAAAATAATAATAATAATAGCTGTCATTCACTGAGCGCTAACCATGTGCTATGTGATTTAAATGCAATCCTCATTTAATCCAATCAAAAATTCTATCAAGAAGCAATATTTTAGTTTCTATTTTACACATGGTAACATGTTCAAATTAAAATGTAACTTAAGGATTCTGAAGTCCTACTCTCTCCTTTTATTCAGTAGGAGAAACTGGATTCCAGAAGCCTGTCACTTGCCATGGGTCACATCTTATTAACAAAACTGTGGTTAGAAAGGTCTACTTACTTACTGGGACAACTTTGTCTCTCAAGCTTTTATAGCAATACACAGTTGATATCTGTACCATGGCCACTTGATCCAGAGACCCGAGCCTAGTAAGCACTAAATGTTTTTACTTCCGTCATCAAATATTTATTGTGCACTTAAATATGTGCCAAGTATGGTTTTAAGATCTGTGGAGGAACAGTGAACAAAATCCTGGCATACCCTGCCAACTGTTTCCCTGCTGATGTTTTCTGGGTAGAACACCACTAGGCTTTTAATACGAACACGTCATAGAAAATACCTATTATCTTTCAATAAAATATTTTTAGAATCAAATTTAGAGAAAAAAATGTATTAGAAAAAAACATATTTTCCTAAAACTCAAATATGAGTTTTAACTAAACATTATACATGAAATGTCTCAAGTTCTATCATGAAAGAAATTGTGAAACAGGAAAATCACATGTAGATATTTTGAAAATTGTGGTATCAGCACAGAAAATGTGTGTCTGGGGTGCCTCTGGTTTTAAGAAGAGGTGTGTTCCTATAAATAAGACAACTTCTTGTTAATAAGCAGATTGTTTGAAGTACCAAAAAATATTTTTTTCATGCATTTTACATTTTTGCTTGATGATAGTTTTTTACTTATAAATGTTTTACTGTTTTATATACATGTTGGGAAATTGGTTGTGGTTTTGGGTTTATATGTAATACATTATTTTCTGTCTACTACTAATAATAGGAAATGGATTCCTGGTTAACATTTTCACACAGAACATATGATTTTCTGGAACAGATTATTAACATTACAAGGGAGTTGCCTGGTAGTCAGAGATCCCTGCGATGGTGGAGCTGATATTCTAGAGGTAATTGAGAGACAATAAACATGATAAACATGGGTATTATCCAGTATGTTAGATGTGAATAAGCACTACAAAGAGCTACTAACCTAGTAGTCGGGTAGGGAATATGTATTTGTGTGGCAGGCACAAATGCAATTTTGGATCGAAGAGAAAGTGATCATGGAATAAAAACCCAAGAGAGGTGAGAAAGCCAACTATAGGTACATGTTGGGTAAAAACCATTCCAGGCAAAGACAGAATCACAAAGAATATTTCTGGTGAATTTCAATAGCAACGTGGAGCTTTGCTGGAGAAATACAAGAGATGAGGAGCATAGATGGTGATGGCATCGAAGAAGCAAGGACGTTGGGAAGAAAATCATACAGAAATAATGATGGTGGTAAGTGGTAAACACAACCGTTTTTTTCTGGTATTGAACCACTGTCCGTCCTTCAAGGCATTTTTATTTTCTTTCTACTTTACCTAAGATAGAAGCCTTGAACATACATCTTCCCCAATCTGTTTTCTTGAGAACTGTGTGATCACAGGAACACAGCTAATTATAGGGAAGGTCTGTTTCACAATCACAATTATTTTGGCAACCAATCATCTCCCATGGTACAAAGTTCCATTTGTAAGACACTATTATTCATTTCCTAAATTCATATTTAGTACAAAATGACAGACAGAATGTGTCCTCTACTGCTGAAGTCCAAAATCACATGATACACTGAAACATGCTGACAGGCAGAATTGTGGAATCTCCCTTCCCCAGAAATGTTTAAGAATGAGACTCTTCCCAAAGGGCAAGAGTCCCACCCAAAGGACAGGAGGTAGGTGGGCTTTGATGAGTCCTCTCAACACAGTGATTCTTCTGTTATTTCTCTCTAGGGGTCTCTTGTGGGGGTAAATTATTTAGTGATTATGAAGAGATTTTCTTTTCTTCACAGGGAAATAACAAGCTACATAAATCATATACAGATTGCTGTCAAGTTGAAATGTTGCTAAAAACTATGTACCTCCTAACCAGATAGTCTTTTTTAAAAAATACCAGAAGGGTGCTGTCATAAAATTTAATTTGATCCTGAAATGCTTAACAAAGACCAAGACATGAGGGAAGCAGAGGTCAGACCCAGACACATGGGTTGGAAAAGAGAATGATGATACAGATTCTAGTGATAGCGCTGTGCTGACACAGAGACAGATGAGGAAAAAGACACAGAAACTTTGAAGGTGAAAAACAGGATAAATCAAAGAGGGTAGTCTGAAGAATAAGAAGAGGTTTTAAAATAGCATTTCTCAGGAAAGTGGTAAGTTGAATCTTCTTTTGTGATGATATCAGGATGTTTCTTTCTACTTTAGAGCAGCTTGAGTTTAAAGAAGGGAGACCATCATCCAGAGAGTTTAAACAAGTAGGGGTAGGAAAGGCAGTGAGGCAATTGTGACCTAGCCTGGAACATAATTAAACATAACCAAATGACCAATAACTTATTATAACAATAAAAGAAAACAAAAAACAGTGATAATGTCATTGGGAAAATAAATTTTATCACATCTCTTCATTCACGTCTTTTATTTTTAACTTGTAGAATCTAGATTTTTTAAAAACTAAAAGTTAAATATAATTCAGTTACATAAATCTAGTCTTGTTTTTATCGAGAGAATGGAAAACTTCAATATATGAAATAGCTGTAGTGTTAACTTTTAGAGCAAAAATTTTAAACAAACATGTTGACCTATTGTGAATAGTATGAAATGGAAAGTAAATTATTCTGGGAAAAAGTCAGTTCCAATATGGATGCCAAGAGCACTAGCCACCTCATTTTGCTTGGCTGCTATTCTAATGTCTGGGCAATTCTTGATGGGTTCGGAAGTTAAGGAAGTCATGGATGGGTATGGAATGCACCTTGGAGTTAGAATCACTTTTCTCTGGTGAGAAGGAGTAAGAAGAGGAAAATTCCATGTATTGGATTCCTCTATATAAAGAACCACCTTTTAAAATAACTTAGAAATGTTGTTCATGAGTTTCAGAACTCCACAGAGCTGGAAATTTTGGCAACATAAGCCTATATGCCCATAGAGCTCTTAATCATGAGAATGAGTCCACGTGATGCCAGTATAGATGCAATTATACTATTCATACAGAATAGAATTCTTCTTCTGCTGGTGAACAATTTGGAAAATATAAACTATACTTTTTTAAGATAAATTACTTATTTTGTATTATTACAGATGTTTATCAGAAAGATAAGCTTTATGAGGTTTATATTTTATATAAATAAAATAGAGATTTATTAATAGCTCACTTTCAGTTAATTTGACAATGACGGACTTGCATTGCCAAGGATTTTCGGAATACAATTTCTGTGAGGCATTGAAATAGTTTTTATTCTAATATCTTAATATTCAAAACCTAATGTAAGGCTTGGGTAGTTTCATATTCTCTTCTCCCAGTTCACCAATGATGGCTTTACACAAGTAGATACAATGAAACTTGGAATAAAATATTGCATTTACTGTCTAAACATTTGTATCTAGCCCAAGCACAAATAAATGTACTACTTTGGCATGAGCTTGAATCCCAGACATGATTATGATTCAGATTACACCAGAATTTTACCAGAATTCAGCAAGTTTTCTACATTTTCTCTCTTCTAACATTAATACTCTCAGCTTGGGGTAAATAAACAATGTGAAGAGTCCATATTCTTCTTAGTAGAAATTCTGAAACGTGTGTAGCAAAAAAACTATACTTCTTTTAACTACAGAAAGACACACCAAAGAGTGGGGTAGACAGTCCAAGGAGTGGTACTTCACTGCATTAGTGAAGGGGAATAAGAAAGGCAGAGGAATGAAAGGCATGGGACTCAAAAAGGCAACGTTTCTTGCTCAGACCTGAAGGCACTTCCGCCTTTTATTGAAGTAGATGATGCCATAACGTTTGTTGTAGGAAATGATCAGTTTTGATACAATGAAAAATATGGTTTGCACAGTAATTTTCTTGACTGCAGTCCACTCCAGTGTCCTTTATCTTAGTGTGTCTTCTGTGAAGGCTTTAGCCACAGAGCACTAGGGCTGCACTCCTATGTCTTAGCATTGAGACTAGCCTTAAGTTCAAGACCCTGGACTCTGAGGTGATCCTTCAGGTCCAACTTTATAAAGGTGGTGACATTTTATTAAAACATATTGAAAGGATTAGAAGAAAACACATTCAGACAAAGCATCTTCCACAGGCCAAAGTGTTAACTAGATGTTTACAAAGTCAAAAAATCTTAGCTCTGAGAGGTACTTGAGGGCTTAATCCTCTTATTTTCTTCTAAATTGATAAATATAGAAAACTGAAGTCCCCCAAAATTAAAAAACCTTTAACACACCTTGAACAAACACTTAATAACTGTGTGAGAAAGAATGATTTGGCCACATTTTAGTTAGCATACAAGAGAGTTAGAAATAAAACTCAGATTTTTCTCGTTCTTTTTAATACATTTTCCATCACCCACCACATTTATGCCCTTGTCCCAGTATCCAAGCTCTCATGGGTGTGATTCCATTCTCAGGTGGACCACTCAGTACATGACTTAGGAAAGGGTAATTTCCTTCTGTCTCAGGGGTTTATGTTTTATATCTTTCAAAAATTAAGAATGTATCTCCCAGTTCAGTGCCCATCCTTGCTGTAATTACAGTTTACTGGCAGCCACAACTAATCCATGAGCAAATAATGCATACTGGCATTCCTTAAAAATGAGTGATTAACAATAGATTATTTTCTCCTATAAATTTAAAGCTGACTCTAGCCTGGGCTACAGAGGGAGACTCCATCTCAAAAAAAAAAAAGAAAATTAAAATTGACAAATGATAATTCAGAACCCCTTATTTGAAGCTTACGAAAAGATAAGTTACTATCATCTTTATCATTTTCATAAATAGATGCCAGAAAATTTGACCTTGTGGTAATGTACATTTCGTTCATCTACAGTCCAACTGCAAATAATTCCTCACAAGGGTGACTGACAAGGTGGGTCCATAGTTGGTGTAACAACCAAAACTCTTTTATGTCAATTAGTATAGAATATTTATCTTTAGCTAGACATCCAAAGGCTTTCCTCTCATCTTAAAGGAAAGCCAATTGGCTAACAAACAAGAGACTTTTTATACCAGTGACTTATTGATATTACCTTCCCAATCTTGGCAGTCTATGAGCAATCAAAATTAAGATGTTAGAAATTATACTTACATATCTGCTTCTCAATACTGCACTAAATCATGAAGTAAACATATCAGAAAGTTCCTATTTTTATTTTCTAATTAATCCTAATATGTAGCATATGGATAATTTTAAAATTAAAGACAACTTTTTTCAATAATGTTCTTGTCTTTTCCTTTCTAAATATCTTATTGTCTTCCTTTCCATTGTTCATTTCTTTGCTCTATTATCCTTAAGTTGTATGGATTTTCCCGCCAGCTTTACGTAAACAATCCTTCTAACTACATTTTTATAATATATATTTGTGTTATATTTTCATTAAACATTATGAAAAATCAGTTTCTGCCCTATCATATTTAAATTAACCATAACATTCATATTTTTTTTTTCAATTCATAAGATAGCATATAAAACTATTGCCATATATCTCCATATGTTTAAAATCTCTATTAAATTGTTTTATAAATTAAAACTGAAACTAAGTCATTTTAAAGAAATGTTTGGCCATCAGATTTGGGTGTATCTAATGTGTTTGCTCATTTTCCTCTAGTAAGAAACACTCTGGGAAAATCTGTAGGGGGGAATTACTATGGACAACAAGAAGTAATTTTGCTTTTGTTATCCAGGCCTTGTCTTCTAGATTGATTATAACCATGCTGAGGAAAACAGAACTCCTGAAGCAATTAACATACTCTTTGGACAAGAAGAGTAAAGAAATCAGCAAAATTATGGTGACTGGGTGACCCAACAGAGAGGAATTAACTTACTATTAGACATTGGTCTGAAAATGAAATGTAATGTGGTGAGAGGAAATAGTTCTGATTTATAAACAGTTACAAGACAAATTGCTATACCATCCAAAGAAGAGGTTTTAACATCCTAATCAGAGAAAAAAAAAAAGTGTTTTACATAACAGAAGACTGTTGATGAAGGAAACATAACAGGCTTAACTGTTCTTGTCATACCCATAAGATGACACTATTTCTGCATTTCAGCCCATTTCAAATGTAGGTATGATCAAGAGACCATGTTTTCTAGGTTCTAATCCTGACTTTATCACATTACTTACTAGCTACATATATTTGGGCAAGTTACCTAATCATCTTGCCTCAGTTTTTTTTTTTTCAATCTGTAAAGTAAGGATAACACATTAGTACCTACCTCTAAGGGTTGTTGTGAGAATTAAATGAGATATACATAAAGCATTTATAATGATGTTTGGCAGATAGTATGCGCTATAGAAAATTATTAGCTGCATTTAGTGTTATTTCTGGAAAGTTCTTACATAATTCAACTCATGCCTTGCTCCTTCCTCCCCATCTTTTAACCTTTGTTTCATCTAAGCAGGTCTCCTGTCTGCCTCCACACCCACTTACTTTTCTGTCTCTAGGCATAATAGTTTTCCAGGGCTGCCTTTAAAAGCACAGGTGAAGTATTCCTTATCCAAAATGCTTGGGACCAGAGGTGTTTTGGATTTCAGATTCAGGAATATTTGTATATACATAATGAGTCATCTTGGTGATGGGATCCAAGACTACACATAAGATTTATTTATGTTTCATATAAACCTTATACACATGGCCTGAAGGTAATTTATATAATATTTTAAATAATTTTGTGTATGAAACAGTTTCAACTGCATTTGGCTGCAGGGGTGAAATTTTCCAATTGTGGCATCATGTCAATGCTCAAAACATTTGATTTTGGATTTTGGATTTTTCAATTAAGGATGTTCAACCTATACTACAAATTGGATGCATTATAACAACGGAAATGTATTGTCTCACAATTCTAAAGTCCAAAATCAAGGTATCAGTAATGTTGATCCCTTCTGAAGGACCTAAGGGAGAATCTACTCCATGCCTCTTTTCTGGTGCAATCCTTGGTGTTTCCCGGCTCCTTGACAAACTATTTCAATCTCTGCCTCTCTCATCACATGGCATTCTCTTCCATGTCCGTGTCCAAATTTCCCTCATCTTATAAGGACACTAATCATTTGATTAGGACCCACTCTAATGCAGTATGACCTCATCTTAGCTGGGTTACATTTGCAAAGATGCTAATTCCAAATAAGGTCACATTCACAGGCAATGGGGGTTAGGAGTTGAACATATATTTTGGGGACACGATTTAACACAAAAATTAGGCTTTTGTTCAAACAGCTACATATTCTTGAAATTCTCTCCCTCTCATCTGCCTTCTGTATTTTTCCTCCCATCCTTCATAGCTGACTTGGTTTTTAAAATACCCCTAAGTACTACTGCATTCATCTCTCTTCATATTGCCAAGCCATTGAGAACTTAATGTATCCAATATGTTAGTTCTCCAGCAAAGCTAGACTCTGAATAAGTGGATCCTAGGATACTTTCTAGTCCCCATGGTACTAACACTCTGTTGGTCAAAGTGGACCCTTTATAAACATTATTGATGAGTTTACCACTGTGTTAGTTTAATAAATGTATCTATGTATTGTTTGCCTCTGTTTATGAAGTAATTCTAGAATGAAGGAAAAACATATCCCAGTTGTGTCATATTATGATGCCTATCAGACCAGAGAAAATAGCTTGAAAGCTCTTTCATGAGCCATTTTAACAAAAAGCATGAAGCCTTTGGTCCTTGTTCAAAAGCAACTTAAAATCTAGCTAGGAAGACAAGGACTAAAGTGAGAACAATTAGAGGAAAAGAAAGCTTCATGTTTTGTGGCATTATATAGTTATAGGCTCTATTTATAAATTCTGACACAATGATAACTAGAAAACAAGGCAACATATGATAAGGGCAAACTGTAGGTTCAAAATAGAAAAGAAGAGATCAAAGTTACTCTTTAAACACATAGCTGGTTTTAGACATCTTGTAGATTTGGGGAGGGGTTGTTTTCTTTTGCTTCAGTTAATTCATGAAAAAGATGTTGATGTCATTTGATTATGTAACAATTAGAATATTGCTCTATCATTTAGGGGTTTTGCAGTGTGTCTTTTTAATCCATTCACCAATCAAGTGACAGAAAGCTGATTCACTGCCATAAATGTCATACAATATCACAGGTGCCACAAAGATCTTGACACAATAGTTCTTTTTTGCACTGGCTACAGTCAAATTTGAAATCACAGGACTAGAAGAAACATCCCTGACTGTTCCCTCCTAGGATTACTCTGACTAAAGAATTTCAACCCACATATTACAGCCAAAAGCTGTCTGCCAGAAGCTTTAACTCATTGGTCCTAGATGTGTTGGGCCACTCAAGACCAAGTTTAATCCTTCTCCCACATGACAACCTTTCAAACAGCTGAAAGCAGTTATCATTCTCACTGCATTTTCCCTCTCTCTAGCTTAAGCGGTATGACATGTTATCATAATCCTTCCCTCCTGACCACTCTCACTTGTGTGTGCCCCACCTTGTCTATCACGCCGTTAAAGGGTGATGTCCAGAACTGAATGCAACTTTCAGGTGTCCACTGACAGCCACAGCATATTTATAGCAATAATGCCTCCGAAACAGCTCATGTCTCTTATCTCTTCTCCATCCTCACAGAGTGAGCCGAGATCTTTATAATAGAGAAATTCCTTTAATAGCTTCCTTCCTGGACCACTTACCACCACAATCTTCATGCTATTCTTCTTCTTTTCTGTAATATAGATATTATAATAGGATAATAGTACTTCTATAAAGATTTTTAGAGGCCCTCTATTTTCAACATAAATATCAATAAAATTTAATTCCTTAGGAAGACAGGGAAGTATAGCAACAAGTATTTTGGCATTATTACCAGTTCAATTTCTGCCAACTTCCTATTTATTTTGACTTGAATTGTATACCCCCAAAAGTCATATGTTGAAGTACTAATCCCCCGCTCCTCTACCTCAGAATGTGACCTTACTGGGAATGAGGTCATTGCACATGTAGTTAAGATGAGCCTTTGGAGTAGGCTCTAATCCACTATGATTGATGTCTTTATAAAAAGGAGAAATTTGGACACAGACACACACAGAGGCCACACGAAGATGCAAACAGTCATCTACAAGCCAAGGAGAGAGGCCTGAAACCATTTCTTCCCTCACAGCTGTCAGAAGGAACCAACCCTGCCAACATCTTGACTTCAGATTTTTAGCCTCCAGAACTGTGAGATGACTTCTTTTATTTAAGCCCCCCAGCTCGTGGAGCTTTGTTACAGCCCTGAAACACTTATACATCACTCTTACCCATTCTCCACAAAACAGTCCTGAGCTCCAATTAACTAAGATGTTAAGTGTTCATTAATTTGCTTTTGATATATAAGAAACAACCTCCAAAATGAGTGGTTCAAAACAACAACCATTTCCTTAGCTCATGATTCTGCAGATGAGAAAATTGAGCTGGGTTCTCCTAGTCAGTTCTAGTCTGGATGGGCTCCACTGAGTTTATCTGGATTCTTTTTTTTTTTTTTTTTTTAAGACGGAGTCTCGCTCTGTCGCCCAGGCCGGACTGCGGACTGCAGTGGCGCAATCTCGGCTCACTGCAAGCTCCGCTTCCCGGGTTCACGCCATTCTCCTGCCTCAGCCTCCCGAGTAGCTGGGACTACAGGCGCCCGCCACCGCGCCCGGCTAATTTTTTGTATTTTTTTTAGTAGAGACGGGGTTTCACCTTGTTAGCCAGGATGGTCTCGATCTCCTGACCTCATGATCCACCCGCCTCGGCCTCCCAAAGTGCTGGGATTACAGGCGTGAGCCACCGCGCCCGGCCTATCTGGATTCTTTCAAACCTTAAAGGTCAGCTGGCTGGGCTATGATGGTATCAGCTGGGACATCTAGGAATGATAAGACCTCTCCCCATGTGATTTCTCAGCCTCCAGCAGGCTAGCCCCAGGAGTTCCAAAAAGCAAAATAATAAGCCTCAATGTGAGGGAACTTCTCAAGTCTCATCTTACATTCCATTTTCTATTACTCCATTAGTCAAATCATAAGGCTAGGCCAGATCCAAGGGGTGGGGAAATAGATCACCTCTTTATAGAACAGATGTGAAGTCACATTGCTTGGATGTAGATACAGGGAAACAAAGAACATGCAATTGTTCTTCATTACCAAATTCATTCATTCATTACCAAACTTCACTCCTTCATTATTCTTTCTGTGATCCCCACAGAAGGTATGAGGCATCATGAGTACAATAAAAAACACATACTTGCACATGTTTGCATGCACAAAGCAAATATGGTCCCTGCTTCTATATTACATATTATTTGAGATAATATTTAACATGAGAAAGCTTAAGTATTTATATGAAGGTATAAAATAAAAATATCCTACAGCAAGTAAAAATATAATCAATGGTGTATATGTGCCACATTTTCTTAATCCAGTAACAAACCTGCACGTTGTGCACATGTACCCTAGAACTTAAAGTATAATAAAAAAAGAAAAAAATATATATATATAATCAATATGCAGAAAGTAGGAGGCAGAGTCTAGAAAGAAAAGATATCCTCTAGTCAAGGAATTCTCAAACAGGAATGATGTTGTACCACAAGGGACAATTGGCAATATATGGAGATATTTTTTGTCTTAACTAGGGAATGGGAAGCTTTCACTGGCATTTAGTACCTAGAGGTGAGGGATGCTACTAAATAATGCACAGAACATCTTGCAACAAAAAAATTATCCAGTCCAAAATGCCAATAGTCCTATGGTTGAGAAGTCCTGTTTTAGACTGAAGATTCATACCAATGCTGGAAAATCTGGGCATGACAGCATCCCCTGTCATTATAGCTGCCCCCTTTCAATAGTCCATTTTATTTGAAACTATTAGGAGAAGTAAAACGATGTTTCAAACCCTGGAGGCAGACGTCTCTTGTTCCTGATGCCCTTTCCTAAGCACCTGGGATGCAAAAATGGGAATGACTGTCTCTGCCTTCCTGGAGCCCAGAGTCCAGGAGAGACAGCCTTCCAGTGAGGCCACCTGTTATGGGAAAAAACTGAGACTATAATGTCCCTTCAAACTGGGAAGGAGCCAAGAGACCAAAGAATGACTCAGACAAGTCCAGCTTGGTGTGTAGATTTTATTATGACTTACATACAGGGCATTCCTGGGTGACAGCAGGACAGTTCCAGAGATTGGTGCCCCCTCCCAACTCTAAGCTGCTTTTAAGCTAATTTTCTGGCTCTTTGCCTACTGTAAGCAATAAGACTCTTTTCCTTGGTATGTTCCCAGATACCTTCTGGGATGGTTTCGGTTCTCAGAGACTCGTGCTCCTCAGGTGGTCACCATGGTCTTGGCTCACCAACTAGCCTTCAGAGTTTAAGCAGCAAACATTTCACCCCTACGCAACCTGGTGGGTGTCTCATCACACTACACCACCCAGATAGTCACCTCCTCTGAGTCCAGCTCTTATCTGGACCTCTCTGTCTCATGTTATAACTGCTCATAGATGTGTGTACCTCCTATTAGGGCACAAGCTTCCATAGGGGAGACCTTATCTTATTCATCTCTGGATCCTCAGGGTCTATAAATGTTGTTGAATGACACATTTGAGGGGAAGTAATAAGGAGTGGTGCTTCACTCTAGTCTCCACATTGTCAAATAAGTAAGGTGTGTTACGTGTGAACATAGAAAGATGTGTGAAGCACCATAAAAGCTGCCTGCATCTATATTTCTGCATCTCAGATTCTAGCACCACTCTATATCCCTAATGAGAAGACAAAGTTAGCTTTAATATCCTTTTCATGTAAAATTAAAGCTCACTGAGGTGTCTCTGAATTGGAAATCTCCTGTTTCAGGAAAGCCTGGTCTTTTTCAGGACTGCCCTGTGTCATTGATGGTGATTGCTATTTTTAGATCATTGAATATGTTAACTAATGCTTCATTTTTACTTTCATTTAAGGTCTGTCCTCTCTTTTTCACTGATTAATATGTCCCAAAATTTTTTTTTACTATTTGTTTGAATAAATAGCCTTGTAACATTTTACTCCCACGTGGTTTAATAGTCACTGGAAAACTGTCATTTAAAAATACTTCCTCCCGTATGCAAACATCTGGCCTACCCATTTAGCATTTTGAAATAAGTAGTAATTATCTAACTCTGTTTTGGCATGATGTTGGGTGACAACTTAAAACTCCAGCATCTATTCCCAAACCTGGTGACTGTTACTGAGCAGGATTCACTTTGTGGGAAGACTGGAGTTTAATTTAGCACCACATACTCTTGCCTTCCAAAATCCAAAATTAAGTCCTGGCACCGTGGTTCACACCTGTAATCCCAGCACTTTAGGAGGCCAAGGCAGGAGCATTATTGAGCTCAGGAGTTCAAGACCAGCCTGCCCAATGTGGCAAAACCCTATCTCTACTAAAAACTACAAAAATTAGCTGAGTGTGGTGGTTCGCGCCTGTAATCCAAGCTACTCAGGAGGCTGATATAGGAGAATCACTTGAACCCAGGAGGCAGAGGTTGCAGTGAGCCAAAATCACACCACCACACTTCAGCCTGGGCAACAGAGCAAGACCCTGTCCCCGCAACCCCCCCAAAAAAAATCAAAATTAAGTGCTTGGCACTACTTAGCCACATATTAAGTGAAATCAGAAAAGTCAAAATGTGCCCAGGTTAGACATAGAAGAGGCAAGAAATTTTTGCAATTTGGATTCTGAAATTATGACATCCTAGGATTCATAGTTCTTTACAAAAAAAAATAATAAGAAGAGGGAGGAGATGAAAGGGAAAGAGAGGAACCTATGAAGCATTACTGGAGACACTGTCATGAGCAGGAGTTTGTTTAGGCTCACCAATAAGGCTGGCCCTTTGGCATCTCTTCCCCTAAGCTCTTTGGAATAGAGTCTTATTAGAATAGTACTGAGGTGGTTTAGGCAGGTCTTACTTAATTCTCCAAGCTCTACAAACGGGGTGTGCCCATTTTTGAAAGAGATTGGCTAGCTAATTATCAAACTTGTTTCTTCTCCTCCTGGGGCCTACAGAGGGTCTACATTTCTTAAACTCCCTGTGGAGGAGGGTTATCACTGGGTTCTGGACAATGTAATCTGAGCAGAGGCCATGTATGTCACATGCCATTAACAGTGGCCTTCCTTCTTCTGCTAGCTTGACACAGATGAGCACAGTAACCTGGGACGCCCTGTGTTAAGGGCAGAGTTCAACGACAGAAGGGGCCTGGGTTGCCAAATCACTGCTTGGAAGGAAGTGTCAGATGACCATGAACACTCATTTTAGACTCTTTATGGAATTCTTATGGAAACAAATTATAGTAATATGACCTGCCAAATCACTGAGATTAGGGGGTTTAATCTGTTGTAGCAGCTAATGTTACCTTAACTAATATACAGTCTCTCTTTAGAGAATTACTTAGAGAGCTTCAGGGAAAGGGAGATTTAAAAGGGGGAGCAATAGACAACTGGGGACTTATTTATTAATTCATTCATTCTTTCAACAAAGATTAAGTTCCTGCTATATGTTTGTTGATATTCTATTAAGTAGAGATAGGGAAGTGAACAAAACAGCAACATATCTATCCATGTGGAACTTTTATTCTAATAGAGAAAAGGGAGACAGGGTGATAATGTGTAAGTAAAATATATAAGAGTAAATGTATACTATGAAAAATATCAGAAAAGGGACAGAATGAATCCTAGTGGCAGAGAGCAAGGGGTAGGAAATGTGACTCACTCTGATGGACTCGTGCCTGGTTTAGAGTCTAAGTGACACCTGCGGCCACTGACTTACACAGGGGAGAGAGTGTCATGAGGATAGTCTTGATGGTGTAGGACAGGTGGTAGTTGTGAAACTGGGAATGTTGTGGGTGGGCTAGAAGAGTTGGGATGTTGTAAGACCAACCAGAGATTCCTAGATCCATCATTCTAGAATATAGTGTTCCATAAAGATGTGTATACTTTAATAATAAGGAAATAACATAGGTGCTTATACAGAACACAAACATTTATAAGCAGAAATAAAGAGAAACTAAGAGCAATAAATCTTCTAGCTGAAATGTGTAGCTTCTACTTTTGCCTATGCACATGAAAGAAAGTTTAAAACTATATAGAATTGGAGGGTAAAAAGTTACAAAGTAAAATATAATTAAAATTCAGAACTACATTAAAAATAATAGTGCTGTGATGGCAACACATTAGGCACAGCTTCTACCAATCATAAGAAAAGAATTAAGGTCAGAAGCAAAAGAAAGAGATAAGTAATACTTATATTCAGGTATACCTGCTTTGAGAAAACTGAATACAATACACAAAAACTCAACCCCACAAAACAGATAACTTAGGGAGTGATTTTTTTAATGCTCAAAATAAAAGGATTTATTGCTCTAGAAGAGTCACTTTAGGATTATTTTAAATACAGAATTTTCAATGGGCGTCTATCCCAAATAGATGAAAACTTGCCAAGCCAAGGATTTTTCTAGACATGAGACATTTAATATAAGGATTTGGAAAAGCATTGAACACATGCCAGAATCATTTATACACATTTGTTTCATATAACAAAATATGTATAAAGAAATGTATTTTCTCAATTTTTGCAGGTTATAGATATTGTAGATATTCACAGAACATGGAGAAGTGAATATTATCAAACATTTATTTTAATAAGTATGTACCAAATGAGATACATATAACATTTCTCCATTGTAAGAGCAGTTACTGGCAACCACACTCTTGGTAACCGCCATTATCATCAGATATTCCAACAAATAGGACCAAAGCAAAGTTAACCACAGAAAACTGAGTGACTCCATGGGTAAAAATCAACTTTACACATATACAGAATAGAGAGTTATACCAGCTATGAAGCCTACAGCTTTGAACTATAGAAATTGAAATGGCAGTTTATAAACAATAGAAATGGATTAAAAATTAAATGGTCCTGGCTAGTGATTAAAAATAAAATGCTAAAGTAATATCCATCAAAAATGTTCACAAGATAAAGAGAAAAGCACAACTCCTGGGGTTGTGCTCAGGGGCTGCCAGGAGGTAACAGGGAAGGGAAGGAAAGGAAAGGAGAAACCAGGCAGATCACGTCTGTGACTGAACTCTTTCAACTAGAGAATCTCTACTTTAGCCGTTGTTAAAAATGGAATTCAATGTAAGCTTACAGAATGATTCACCTGCTAATTTTTTTATAATTTTATAAAACATTTATAATTTTATAATGAGTATAATTTGATCATTCATTATACACAGGACTATATCCCAGAAAGATATAGTGACTTTCCCAAAATCTCTCAGCTAATTAATGCTAACCCAAGTCTCCAGTTTACCAAATCTGCTACACTTCCAGTTGATGGTGGTATTATATAAATATACTAGAACCTATAGCACCTATTGGATAAACAGATTAGAGAAAATTACTATCACAGAAAAACTGAAAATAAAAGATACATAGGTAGCATGTACTATCTTCTTACTATATGTCAGGCATGATTCTAAACATTTTATAATTATTAACTCATTTAATACTGGAAACGAGTCCTACTCTATACATTGGAAAAGAAAATACAAAAGTGTCAATTTGCCTTCCCAAAGTGACACACAGGAGTAGACATATTTTAAACCTAAGTGGTCGGATTCTTAATACCCCATGCTCTTAACCATTCTTAAAGGATGTAGCATATAAAGATGCAGCACATAACAGTGGTGGCCCCAGGAGGCTTAGAAAGGACATGACACAGAATAGGACTGGAATAGGACCAACAAAGTAAACAATCTGAGAGATCAGAGATGGGAAAATTGCAAGATTTTTAAAGATAGGTTTGACTTTGATATTTGTTCATTTATTAAACAAATGTTTATTGAATGTTGACCATGGGCAAGCACCATTGTAGCCAGTGGGGAGTCAGAGGAAAAAGTGTCATTATCTCCGCTTTTATGGATCTTATGTGCAGTAAACAAGAAATGTATATATGCAGAAGAAAAATATCAGAGAGTAATAAGTATTATAGAGAATTCAAATCTGATAGTATAATGAAGTAAATTGGTGGCTAGTTTAGATTAAATGGCCAGGAATTAGCTCTCTGAAGAGGTGTCATTTGAGCTGGTATCTGAAAGATAAGAAGTAGCTAGCCATAAAAATTCAGTGGGAAGAGTATCCCAACCAGAACAAACCAGGCCAAGTATAGAGACAGAGGAGTGTAGTTGGTTTCATCGTGAGCAACTCATTGGAGAAATGGCTTGAGATGAGACTGGAGGGAGAGATAGAGAGCAGCATCCTCAGAGAAAAACGTTATTTCCAAGTGCAATGAAAAGAAACAGGAGTGTTTTATGTGGGAGGGTAACATGACCTGAATTACTTTTCAAGAGCATCACGCAGCAGGTCACCTGTGCGGAGAGGGTTTTAGAGGACAAGGGGGAAGCAGGAAGAGCACTGAGGAGGCCATGCAAGATCCCAAACCAGTTGAAAGACGGTAATGGTTTGAACAAAGGCAGTGGAGATAGAGGTGAAGAGCAGTAGATTTGGGGGAAATGTTTAGGATATAGGCACAGCAGGGCTTGTTGACGTGGGCAATGAGGAAGAAAGAGGAATTCAGGATAAGCTCTTGACATTGCACAGAGTTCAGTTAAAATGGGAACTGAGAAAACACTGTGCTTTTAGGGAAAAAACTCACATCTGAAGCTTTTCCAAATTATGCAGAAAAAAGAAAATAATCACACAACAGGCACATGTGGCTGGAGTTCAAAGACAGCATAATAACAGTCTTTTAAAAACCATTATATTACTGCTACATTTGTCGTTCAAATGATGACTGGAGCTTGACCAAGGAATTCAAATGAAAAAGTAACAGGCAACACAAAGATGCTTTATAAATTCAAAAATGCAGATGCTAAGTAAAATAAACACAGATTCACCTCACTCAAACCATATTTAAGCCTGGGTAATTTGTATATTCATTTAATTTCCATGAGTGCATTCGAGTGAGATTTTGGAGGGTTTTCTTTCTGCAAGTGTATCAGAAACTATCCCTCTAAATGAGTATTGTCCCCTTCAAAATAACTGCTCTGGGAGAAAATAAACTTATTCTAATGATATTGTAATTGCTCAAAAATTGTCTTGGAACTGCTCTGTGAGATTTACTTTCAGAGCCAGTAGCACATTCTCAGAGCAACAAGTCTACATCACTGAGGGTGGGCTAATTCAAAGACAGTCTGAGGCTGAGAGCCCTGCATGGCTGATGAAGTTCAGTTCTCTCATTGTCGCTCTGCGGTGTTCTCAGAAAGGGCGCGGCAAGTGAGCCCACGCTCTCTGGTGTGTGCAGGCTGTCACACCCACAGAGCACTCAGACACCGTAAGAATTCTGTACGATAAGCCTGATGGACAGGTTAACCTCGTGGGCTGAATTTTTTATGAGCGAAGCCATCGATATCAAAGAAACAAGTCCACATTGTACTCAGAGGCAATTCTTTGGTGTAATCTTTTTTCTTAGGGCAGGGATAGTGTATGTTCCACTCCAATTCTGATAATTTCTTTCTACACCATCCTAGATAGGACATGTTTTACCATTGATTTCTATGTTTTAATATATCATGTTTCCACGTCTTGGTTCAGGGAAGACGGCATACATCTATACACCTTCCCATATACCTAATGGGAAGGCTTCTCTGCCTGTTCTTTAGTACAAAATACAAGTACAACTTTTCAGAACTTGCCTCATTTCTGAGTTTTACTTTTAAGAATGCCTACATACCTTTGTCTAAATTAAAAATTTTAGCCCTCCTTCTGATAGTTAATTGCTTATTTGAATGCACCAAATGTCTGATATTCTTAAAGATTCCATGATTATACTGTAAATGGATGAATGGTTCCAACATTTTCAGGCACTTTTTTTTTAAGAATGGAAAATATATTGACATTGCTTTTTCTCATAAACTTCTCTTGACATGTCTAGTGTCTCATTTTGCATATTTGTTCAGTCACACATAGAAAAAAAAGAACAAAGTTATTTGCTGTCTGAAATTGCTGCTAGTTTACATGTTGTCAAAAGCAACATGTAATTCTATTCACTTCCTTTGCTAACACAAGAAGGACTGGCCAAAGTATCACTGTTGCTGGTAGAATAGGAATTTATATTATTCTTCTGATGATTTAGATATAATTGCTCATGTACTCAAATTTACTACACAGAATAAATAATTTAGTGTACTTTGTAATTGATTACGTAATTGTTTTACTTCCCATGTAAAAAAAATTAAAGGAGTAGAAGCACTCTATTTTTGGATCAATCCTAAAATCATCTCCTTTCAGGTATAGGCACCCCTTACCTTTCCCTTCCACCCCAAACAAACACTACTGGGTCAGGACATTTTCCTCCAAAGAGTTACTTTATGAAAATATGTTACTTGGAGGCAAGATTTATTTTCAACTGTGATGGACATCTGGGCTCTAGCCTAAAAGAAAGAGGGAGGAGAAAGCTGATATAACAGGACAAAAGGATCTTAGGGATGTGCCTCAATGGTATATTATTGAGCCCTGTAATAGTTAGCTCTGAAATGAAGTTACAAGATGTTCTAGATGTGAACACTTCCTGGACTTGATGGACCAAACATTGGGCTCTCCTGTCACAAATGAATATAGTCAGGGTCGACAGATACAGAAGGTCAACTATACTCCATTTTATATATGAGACTAGAGCATCCATGAATTTTTGTATCTGGCGGGGGTGGGGGATCTTGGAAATCAATCCTTCATGGATACCAACGGACAAGGGCATACAGAAGAGAAAGAAACTTCAGTCATTCCTTGTGCATGTGGCTTACGTGTAAAAGTGCAGTCAAAATGCTTTTTTCAATTTTATCATTGACTCACATTTATTAGTTTGATGCAACTTGAGATCAACTAAGAGTTCATTGTCAAGATTTGTCTTGTATTTAAAAGCAGGCAAAGGTAAAGTTAAAATGCATTATCCTTTCGTTTTCAATACCATTCTTAAACCAAATTAAGGAAAGTCCAAATTTAAAAATCAGGTCTAGTTGTAACTTCATTTTAAAGATGGAACCTGGGTGTTCAGATAGCTTTCATTGGTAGTGCTGATGAAAACTAATTAACAATAGCATCAAAAGTATGCTGTTACTGCCAGAGACTTTCTCATTTAACCTTTCAAAGCTGTATGAAAACTACACAAAATTTAGCCACATGGCTAAAGAGTTATGTCTTCTAAAGCTTCCCCGCATTCTAAGAATGTTAATTTTTCATATCAACAAACAAGAACATAAGATTATATATTTAAAAATGTAATAAAATCCAGGATATCCCTGCCACTACATACATGCAACCAATATAATCCCCTATGTTGTTCTATAATTAAAATGAATGAAATTCTAGAAATTCCACTATGTATATGCAACCAATATTATCCCCTATATTGCTCTATAATTATGATGAATTAAATTGTAGAAATATGTAAGCAAATTTAGCTAAAGAGATAAAACAAACAATGCACACGCTATAGATGTATACAGTTTTTCAACTTTCTGAATAAGCATTCCCAGAAAAACGAAACTGCTTAATGATTCAATCAAGTTTAATCCTAACACTTACCTATGTGCCACTTTGGATGTAAACAAAAAATATCAATTTCAGATATAATTATATATAGCTCAGAAGTATATCCTTCTGGTTTGAGTTGAATACAGCACTGAGAAATCACACAAAGGACTAAACTGTTACAGGTATACAATTCTATTTTTGTAGATGAATAATTGGTCATTCATATCCCTGTCTGCTGCATGCCCTTTGTATCCTTCTATTGAATCACCAGTTCCCTATTCCATAAAACATGACTTTGTTTTAGGGGCACCAGCTTTTTTATGCTCCTTTTCTTTGTTTTTTCCTGTCATGTCCCTGTTTCTCTGTATTGATATTCCATTTAAATTGTTTAATATCCTCCTGATTTGGGTTCATGATCATTTTCCTTATCATTTTAGTTTTTTGTTGTTGTTGTCTTTCAATTCTTCCTCTCTACCTGTAACTGTTTTCTTCTTTTGATGCCTACCAAAGGATAGTGAGTGAAACAATTTGCTCTAGTTTATTTAGGTTTTTGTTTTATCTTGCTTTAATGAGATTTTGTTCTTTCTCAATTGTCTCTCTTTTCTTGTACTTTTTGTGTAGTAGGGCCATTCCTCCAAGGAAAAAAAAAACAAAAAAAACACCAAGACAGGATTAAATGTGCAAATATTCTATTGGGGAAAATTACTATGTCAAAAAAGGATCCAAGTAAGATTGGGAGAGCCATGAGACTGCTATGCATGTTTTACCCCAGTGAAGGTTGTGGGGAAACAGCCTAGACTTCTACTCAATGTAGGGCATGATCAGGATTGGCAGCACCTACCAGCACAGCAGAAGTGCTAGCCCTTGCCCCGGAATTATCTGGACTACTTCTGCATGCCCAGAAAATGTTGAGGATGTTTTAGCATAACAATCTTCAGAGGTATTCATCCAGATGTACTCTATGATTCAGGTTCTCAGAATTCCCCTGGTACGGCACTGGTTCCATGAGATACCTGCCTGCTCTGAGCATTCCAGTGTTGGAACTCCGAAATCCTACCAATTAGGTCTCCAGCCTGCAGTGTCTGCCTTTCCACTACAAGTAATAAGGACATCTTTCTAGGCAACCTTGGAAGTTCTCTGGTTCTTACGGTTTAGCTTGATTATTAACAGCTCTCAGCGTCTCACTGTTCTTTTCTCTTATTATCATTATCTAGGTTTTCAATACAATTTAGCAGCAATTAGCCAACTCAAATGCTTTGTAGGCATTGTATGAACTCATGGTACCTGCAGAACTGAGACTTTGTTGCCAATAGCAGAGTCCTAAATAACACAGCCATATGATAATATTTCCTGCCTCTTTTTCTCCAGTTGGTCACTCCTGTTTCCTGAAATGACTCCTTCCAAAATAACTGCCTGCACACAAGTCCTTGTTTCAGGTTCTACTCTCCAAGGAACTCAAACTAAGACAGTTGATTCCCAGAATATCCAGAGAGCAACGCCTCATGATGGGATTCTGGACCTAGATCACTCACCAGATAGACAAGAACATCTATTAAATGCTGGTGGTGGCAACCATAATGGGGACTGTAGCATCACAATGACCAAGTCCCTGATCACAGTGGAGGAAAAAGCATTCAGTTAGACAGTCATCCTAGCACCTGAACAATATGGAACAAAAGTATAGCCATAAAGACCTTGGAATTGGCTGGCATTTGTTGCCATGGAAGTCTTAAAGAGAAATCTTTAAGAATGCAAAGATCTAAAGGATCCCATTGTATCTTTTTCTTCCTGAAAGACCCTGAAAATATATAAATTAAAATGAACCGGTTAAAGTGAATGTAAAAACTAGTCAAAGATATCAGCAGACTCCCTGGCACTTAAAACATGGCCATTGACCTGTTGAATGATTCTTTTATGACTCAAACAGTTGAGGTGGAGGGATTGCTACCAACAAAAATAATAGGCAGAAACCAAAACTATTCCAAAGTCACTAAGGGCAGCCTGGAAAGACAGAGAAAGTTGTGTGGAGAATGGGAACATCTTAGCCTATGGAGATGGTAAATGCAGGTTAATGCTCAGATTCCTGTTTTCACGCACACATTTTCCAAAAGCATACTCTTTTCTTTGCTGAGCTCTGGTTAAGCAGAGCTCATCTTGGCTACAGCAGCAACATCTGAAATGCATCAATCTTCCCTGTCATACTCTCCCCACAAGTGTGACCTGTGGTTACCTCCCAATAAATTACATGTACCCAAGTCCTTGTCTCATGCTTTGCTTTCAAAGGACCCCAAACTAAGAATGACAATAATCAGCTCTGCCAGCTTCTGGTTTGGTCAGAGCCTACATGATCAGATGACTCTGGAGACGGCAGTAGCAACAGAGGGAAAGGAATTGTGTCCTGGGAAAGCCAGGCAAGCTCAGACTCAATGATATCTGCATCAGTATGTATGATGATGAACAAGCCAGCCCTTTGTAGAGTGCGTTTAGATTTTGCCTTACTCATCTGCCATCTTTCTCTAGCTTTAATACTTACACCTGATTCAAGGTTTCTGCATCTGAGGTTTACCTACATAACATAGTAGTTATTAAACCCATTTATGCCTAGTGTTCCATTATTAGAACACTAAGCATGTGGGAGTTATTTATATCCTACTGCTCAAGGTCATTGTCAGGGTCTAATTGCAAAAGTACAAAAAAAAATTGCAACCTCAGGCATAAATGGGTTAAAAACTCCTGCAAGAGCAAGGTAAACACTGTGGGCAACTGTTAGAATGAAGGACTGAGCTGATTATTGAGTTAAAGAGTGGGGCAAAGGGGCACAACAGAGGACTCCAGTTACCAGAATACTAGTATATATGTGGTCACAGGAACAATATGGAAATCCTGTTGTTAGAATTAGACTTCAGTTTAAGAACCACACTTATAATAAGGTTATCTGGAGGCGGAATCCTGGAATGCCTCATCACTGACAGCATCCCATATCCTAAAATATGGTAAATAGCACAGAGCAGAATGGTGCTTACCAGAGGCTGGAGAATGGAAGAATGGGGAGAAGGTCAAAGGGTAGAAAGCCTCAGAAGAATTAAGGGGGTTTTTTGAGGTCTATTTACAGTGTGATGAGTATAGTTAATAATAGTGCATTGTACATTTCAAAATCTCTAAATTTCAAATGTTCTCACCACCAAAAAAAGATGATGAGTATTTGAGGTGACAGATAGGTCAATTAGCTTGATTTAATTATTCCACATTGTATTCATAAATCATAACATCACTTTGTGCTTCATAAATATGTTACAAGTAAAATCTGTCAATTTAAATAAAAATTTTAAAATGAAATAAAATATGGTTAAACTCAGGCTGTGATCAGTCACTGAGAAGGGGATGTGGAACTTTCAAGGTCCTGCTAGCACTGGAGCTAACGTCACAATTTCAGAATTATGTGGCATTCCAATGGCGTTTCTCCCCTCTTAAAGTGGGAACGAAACCAACAATACCAACCCTGCACTCTTCCTAGATATAAGTTAAAAAGTCTTCTATAAATTAAACCTTAGAAATGCCTCTCTCCCTTCTCTCATTTGTAGATTAGTGAATCAGACCCATGATCTAGAAGTATTTTTTATTGTATGTTAGTTATCAATAGATTTTTAAGAAAGTTACTGACATTTATGACAGTACGTATAGTTTATTTCCCTCTAAATGTTCTCTTCCCTTTTCTTGATGAGGGTCAATATCAGCCTATTTCTTCCACATATAAGGAAAACTTTTTGTCTACTAAATCATCACTCTTTAACCTTCTGCTTTTCCCGTAGTATACCCAAAGTTGAGCTTCACCTGAATGTCAGTATGCTAAAGGTTTCCTCATTTATAATAACTTTAATAGCATTATATGTCACTATTAATTCACGTAGCTTGCTTACATTCCTAAAAACGTTTTAATTTTAGTGTTGCCTCACTCACATCTGTCTTCATTCCTCCGGCTACTATCCCTACCCTTCATCATTTACTCTACGGCATAATATCACCTACATCCTAATCAAAATAAAGCAATGGCCTCAATGCTATGGCCCCTTCCTGACAGGTAAATTTGTGGGTTCAGCAACCTTTGAAATGCCCCCATAAAAGCAACTTCAAACATTTAAAAATGTGTATTCACAAACTCACATAAATTTTTTGGTGGTGTGATGCTGAGACCCAAATGCAATGATTTAATGTTGCACAGTTAATCTGTGAGAAACTGTATCTATTACTTAGGTACTGACTATAACAATGCTAATACCAAGCTTTTTTCTCAAAAAGCAGTGTAAACAATATACTTGTGGAGTTAGAGATAAAAGTTCACAGTAATCATGACAATCTTGATCCAAACACATTTATGATGTTGCTCTATTGTTTACATGGCCCTTTGTGTTTGATTCGGTACCATCTTCATTCTCAATAAATCTGAGGCATTTGCATTAAACCAAAGAACAATTACATGGTATTATGATGTCTGGAAATATTCTTTTTCATCAAACCTGGATTGTTTTACTATGCCTGAGTTGGACTCAGGATATTCTCTGGGATGTTGACCTAGGCAGGTTTTCTCGTAGAGGTCGAGGGCAGCCTTCACCCCTTCTGAGAAAGAGTTTACCTCCTAATGTTGTGAGATTCAAATGCTTCTTCCACCTTTCCTTTTTTATTTCTCCTAAAGAGCACTTTGAGGTATTTTTATTTTCTATATTCTATTTAATTGGTATAAAATTACATTACAACAAAACATGACAAAACTTTCCTTCTGAGAAGCTTAGGTGGAAATATGCTATTTGGAGTTTCTTGGAAACAACACTTTATGGGGATTCTGCTATCTGTTTTTTTGTTTGTTTGTTTGTTTGTTTGAGGCCGAGTCTCGCTCTGTCACCAGGCTGGAGTGCAGTGGCAAGATCTTGGCTCACTGCAACCTCCACCTCCTGGGTTCAAGCGATTCTCCTACCTCAGCCTCCCGAGTAGCTGGGACTACAGGCACAAGCCACCACGCCTAGCTAATTTTTGTATTTTTAGTAGAGACGGGGTTTTACCATGTTGGCCAGGATGGTTTCGATCTCTTGACCTTGTGATCCACCTGTCTCGGCCTCCCAAAGTGCTGGGATTACAGGTCTGAGCCACAGCACCCGGCCAATAGTTACTATTTATTAATAATATCATGTGTTCTGTCTGTCAAGTATTATTGACATTTATTATCTTCTGTCCTTGTTGAATGCCTGAGCACTCAGCTGGGCCTGAAAAAACCTAGCAGGAGCAGGTTTTCTTTGACATATTCTGGAACTGTTCTCTCCATGAAGTGTCATCTTTTCCTTATATTTAGATCAAAATAAAGATAAGCAGACACATACAAAATTTAAGATCATACTTAGATTTCAAAACCTGTCATCTAAGGCTCTGCCTAATTTACTTACCAAACTTTGCAAACAAATATCCTTTTCAAACATTTTATTACATAGTCAATGATCTAGTATATCTATATCACTTATTAAATTATGCTCATATTTCACAGCTTTTTGTATTCACATCCTTATCCATGCAGTTTCTTCCACCTAGAATGCTCTCTCCCAATTTGTGTCTTAGCTTTTTGTTTGTTTTTGCATATAAGCCATCGTTCACGGTGCAGTTTAAATGGTACCATATTCATGAAGCCTTTTCCAATTGATCCCAAATAGATTTAATATTTTTCCTCTGCTAAACTTCTATAACACACCCTTTTTCCATATAATTCTTGCCATTATAGCCATTGTTTGTAGTTACACATGAATTTGTTTCATACCATTTCCTGAAGGAGGCTTCCATAGCTTTCTTATCCTTTAGATCCAGAAACCACTGATTGCTCTACAGCAAGCATGTGTGTAATAGGCTACATTGAAAGCTACAGGAAGAATGTTACAATAACTATCAGTTTCATTCTAATATTTTAAGTAACAATCATTTCTAAAATGAGGGGAATTTTTTATGTGCTAGTCATTATCTTGGGTGCAGAATTGTTGTAGAAATGCTTTGAGGTATATACCCAGATCAGAACAACCCCCTTTCTCCAAAATTGCCACCATTGCATGAAGGGTGGGTCTGTGACAATATTACCCATATTATTTTACCCTCCATCCTAGCTACAGTTGATTGGCCAGAGGTAAACATTAATTCTTACTAGGCCTGTGTCATCGGAATAGTAGCCCAGGCTGCTGATATTCTACCCTTCCATGCAGAGAACAAAAAAGATCTATCAGTAGAAAGAATATACAGACATTTAAGCTTCACTAGCCATCCCACCATGCAACTGTACCTCCCATCAGGTCCCATTCTGTTGTTCAAGCCTCCCTGTCTTTCCCTCTCCTCTCTCAACCTGTCGCCCCAACGATCACATGTTTATTACATATTATGCTGGGCAGTTTAGCCATCTCTTTATGTTAACTGTCTCCTTCAAACTATGCCCTTGGTATTCCCTGTTTGGCAGATTGGAAAAATATGATTATATAATATACCTTCTTTGGTTTGTCTAAACAAAAATGTTATTTTGTTTTAAACAAATTTGCTCACCTCTAAATCAAATCCTGCCAGCAAAATGATATAGGCAGGTTTATTCAATTACCAATTTCAGATTCTCAGCTTCCTAGGCTTTCATCTGTAGTGGTGAACTGCAGAGGGGAAGTAGCAGATCTTAACACTTCCAAGGCTCTGAGAGTCAAAGTCACATGCTTCCTTTGACGAAAGCTTCCAGGGTCTTCTAGGAAGGATGATGCTTAGGCTAAGGTACTGAGTCTTAAAATGCTAAAGTAAACTTAGCTTTTTGATAGCTGCTGTCCTGATTGGAATTAATGTGGAAATAGGAGGGACCATACTTTATTCTTTTATTACAGCCACTATATTTTGTTAAAATACTTCTTAGTACATTATCTTGGATAAATCCTAGATGGTATTCATATATTACTCCAAATTACATAAATTATCATATTTTATACAAAAACAATATAGTAAAATAAATATTGCTCTTACTAGGAACATCTAAAGCAAAGGAGAAACTGAGATATGACATGAGGCCTGATTTCTGCTACCTGTCCCATGGACTAAACTTTAGTTTCAAATTGGCAGGACAATCCATCCCTAGTATAATAAATATTTCAATCATGACTTTAGTGAGTCATGTGTAGATTAAAAATCAAAATTACATTAGCTACATGGGAACGGATGTTGCATGTTATAAGAGATATTAGAGTTCAATGCTAACATTTTGTTCTTTGGGATTCCTTTGTTTGTATGTTTAGGTTCTTTAGAAATGGAAGAGAGGAGAAAGAGGGATCTATCATCAGCCCAAATTTGTTTTGCAGAAATAAGGTGGTATATGGTCACAGGTCTGCATGTTTCTGGTTTTTTGTGTTGTTGCTCAATATAGCTATATTTTAGATATTATTATTACCATTATTTAAACTGCAAATACCAGTAATATTGCATCTTCCACAGTCTGAATCATTTATGGAGAGAGCTAATAGTCCTCACAAGGAGGTAGTTTCACACTGGGAAGGTGTTAATAGATATAAACTGTGCAATTTGCTGAAATTGGCATGATATCTTTATTATACCCTCTGAGCTCAATTGGGCCAAATTTGACACTCTAAATTGCTATAATTTGAAGCTCTCTGGTTTTATTATTAAATATAAGCCTAAAATTTTATATATTTGCAAAGAAAAGATAATTTTCCTAATATTTTTAATAATTAATTGTAATTATATGTGGCATTACGGCATCATTACCTTCTTTGAAGACTAAGAGACACAGGTAGACTTCTCAAAGGGAGATAAAGCAGAAGGCACAGGGGGATCAGTGTGATAACAGCCCAGAGATGGAGAAGTCAGGCTATGCTCAGGGCAGTGGCAAAAATAAGATATGGCAAGAATGTAAGACGCAGGGGAGAGGTAGAGATAAAACTAGGAAAACAGTCAAATTAGGAAAGTTTTTGAATGACAGGCTGAGGAAATTATATTTTATTCTTTAAGCAATAAAGATATACTAAAGGTTAAAGCAGAGAAGTGATATAGTAGGAGAAGTTCTCAAACTCTGGAAACAGAATACGAGACATCCGGAAGACAACGGCACAAAACAGGAAAAAATCATTTAAGGATAAATTGCATATTAATGAATGTGTTATAAATAGGATACTCTAACAATAAACCACTGTAACTTTCATGTCACTCTACTACAAGGACCCAGGTCACTCATGATTTAGGATGTGGTAGGATTACTGCCAAACCTCCACTCAAAATAGCTAGGGCAACTATCATACAGTCTTGTGTTGCTTAATGATGGGGACAGTTCCGAAAAATATGTCTTTGGGTGATTTCATTTTTGTGCAGACATCATAGAATGCACTTACACAAACCTAGATAGTGTAACCTGCTGCACACCTAAGCTATATGGTATAGCCTATCGCTCCTAAGATAAAAGCTCATACAACATATTACTGTATGAATATTGTAGGCAATTGTAACGCAATGGTATTTGAGTATCTATCAATACCTAAACATAGAAAAGGTACAATAAAAATAGCATACCTGTATAGGGCACTTACTAGGAGTGAAGTTTGCAGGACTAGAAGTTGCTCTGAGTGAGTCAGTGAGTGAGTGATGAGTAATATTAAGGCCTAGGACGTTACTATACACTGCTGTAGACTTTCTCAACACTGTACACTTAGGCTACACTCATTTTTAATTTCTTTCTCCAATAATAAATTAACCTTAGCTTACTGTAACTTTTTTATTTTATAAACTTTAACTTTTGACTCTTTTTTAA